>NW_025791818.1:154929-309858 GCF_000001405.40 Homo sapiens
ATTTTTAAAATCAAAAGCCTGTAATATTCTTGCAATAACTTTAAGATATCATAGATTTTACAGATAGCCATGAGATTACTAGCTTAAATCTAGATATTTCTTTAGAGCAGTGAAGGGGAGCTTGACCAAGTCTTTGTGTGAGCTGTTACCCTTGGCCTTAAGGAGACCACCACTTAACTTCAAGAAACATAAAATTTAACCAATCTAATAAATAGGTGTCAGATGTAACAGCTGGGAATCTTCTTCTAGTAGAAGACAGATGTTAGTAGAAGACACTGGAACATTGACTTCCACATTGGTGTCCCAATAAATGCACCCACTTCAGTTCCTCCTTACTCTTCAATCCCATGGACTTTGCTTTATCAGCATTTCATTTCAGCCACCTACCACCCAAACCCAATTTTATGATAGAGCAAGAACACCTGAACTATACTGACTGTAACCACCAACAAGAGAGAACAACCCTCCTGTTATTGAATGTTCATAATTTTTTAGTAAGGATGTCACGGATTCTGTTCAGACAAAGAATTGCTATACTGTGGGCCTATAACCAGAGAGGTTTTTAAGCTACTTTTATTGTATGTCATTTTGGGTATCCAAGAAACAGCTTTTAACAAAAAGTTAGGAACACAAGAAATTCATTGGGGAGTAATGCCTGTGAAAGCTGAAAAGGGAATAAAGCAGATGAGCAGAAAGGGCCTTCAGATTGCCTTACAGATATGATACCTGTGAAAGGAAAGGAGGAGGAAATCAAGATTTAGCAGGAAGAGCTTCACATCAAACTGCATATCTGAGAAAGTCTTGGAAAACCCAGTGAGAAGCTCTGGAGCAAAGATTGTCCATTAGAGGCATCCCCTAAAGGACAGGCACTAGCAACCACATCATGCCCAATCATTGGCTAAATACCACTCAGTAAGTGTGGCCTTCCCCCACACTCTGAGGCAGATCCTGAAGGTGCTGCACCTGGAGGATGCCAACTCACTGCATCCCCTGCATATGAACAGCAGGTTCTTTCTTGAAGGGTGATCTGAGGAGTGAACTTTCATGACTGCCACATCTGGGGATCAGATCTCACCTGGAAGTTACAGACATTCATTGTTTCAATTGGCTGTGAATGAGGCAGGTCTCACAAATTAGAAACCAGAGCTCAATACGAGAATCCTAAGTAGGTGGCAATGTTAGAGCCTGGACTTTTGCACGCGTTGAAAAAGAAAATACATTGACCAGTCTTTGAAAGATAGAAAATAAGATGACTCTTACCACATGAAGATTAATTAGTGGGGTAGAGGCCAGGCCAAGGAACTGAAGACATGCTTGCTGTTTAAGGATTGATGTTAGTTAACAACATACGTAATTTAGAAAATTGGGTTTGAGAACCTTATGCCATTGGGATTTTTTTAACTGCAATTTTCATTGAGATTATTGTAGATCCCTTTGCAGCTGCAAAAAATAATGCAGAGAATTCCGTGTACACTTTATCAAGTTTCCCCCGATGGTAACATTTTGCAAAAGCATAATATCACAACCAAGATATTGATATTGATATAATCCACTGATCTTATTCAGAGTTCCCTAGTTTTACCTGTACTCATTTCTCTGTTTGTGTGTGTGTGTATGTGCACGTGTGTGTGTGTGACACCACCATCACAGTCAAGATACTGAACATCTCCATCACCACAAGATCCCTCATATTGCAGCCTCACTCACTTTGCTCCCACATTTTTATCCCTATCTGTAGCCCCTGGCAATTACCAATCTTTTCTCCATTTCTCAAAATTTCTCCCTTCAAAAACATTAGATACATAATTAAATCATCCATTATGTAACCACTTGAGATTGGCTTTTTCACTCTGCATAATGCCCTTGAGATTCATCCAAGTTGTTGCATGTATCAATAGTGTATTCCTTTTTGTCACTGGTATGATATGGATGTGCTACAGATTGTTTAACCATTTACCCATTGAAGGACATCTTGGTGTTTTTCCCCAATTTTGGGCTACAAACATTGTCGTATAGATTTCTGTGTGAATGTAAGTTTTCATTGCTCTGGGATAACTGCCCAGAAGTGCTGAGTTATTGCTGAGTTACGTTGTAGTTGCATGTTTTGTTTCTTAAGAAATTACTAAAATGTTTTCCAGTGCAGCTATACCATTTTACATTCTACCAATAATGTAGAAGTGACCCAATTTCTCTGCATCCTCACCAGCATTTGGTATTGTTATTATGTTTTATTTTAGCCATTCTGATAAATGTGTAGCAATGTCTCACTGTGGCTTTCATTTGTGTTTCCCTAAGGCTAACAATGTTGGACATCTTTGCATGTGGTCATTTGTATTTTCACAATGTATTGGCTTCTCTTTATTTAGCCAAGTTAGTTTTGAAGAGAACAATACAATTCAACTAAACAAAGGAGAGTCAAGGCAAGGAGAGTGTATGATCAGGTGAGACTAGAGTTTTAAAGGGGGACATTTGTCCATTCCAAGATTTTGTCCAAATTATTTTTTCAGCTTCAACTCACGTTTTGCATCCAATACAACTCATGTTCCAAAAAAAAATGTCCAGTGCTCCCTATATATACCCCATACTTTCTGGCATCTGTGTTTTCTCACATTATTTTCTCTATTTGTTTCTCCATCTCCAAAGTCGAATTCCAAGAATCACCAAGTTCCAGAGGCTACCCTCTCAATGGAACTTTCCTTGATGCCAGCAGCTGGAATTCATCTCCCTCATGTGAACATTCCTCACAACTTTCTAGAAAGGTCTCCATTGTTGCTTTGTATTGCCATTATGTGTCATGTATCCTGACTTTCCAATTCGGCTGTGAATCCAGGAGCTAGCTGGTGGTGACTAGGCCAGGTCTTTTATCTCCTAGTCTAATCATCTTGCCTTGATCAAGCTCTGCCCACTAAAGTGCAATTGTTAAAGATCAAATACAGGGTGTCCTTTCGGTAGGAAACAATCCTCTACCTCGTTATCCAAAGAAGTCACTCAGGGTCACACAGCATTTAAAATACTATCAGTGTGTGCCATTTTTTACATTCAATAATTTTTCTTCACATCAAAATTTGAATAATATTTTTATTGTCAAAAAATCACCAGATAAATGGGTAAATTAGTCTCTCCCTCAAAAAAAGAGAACCAGGGATGTATACAATAAGCACAAGAAATGGATTAAATAATTATCAAAAAACAAACAGGGAAAAATAGAAATCAGATGGGACAATGGATATTTTGTGATGCTAGAAAGATTACAGAGAATACTGATAGGGAGAAGGCTATACAACCTCAGAATTTTCACACTGTACATCTTTAAAACCTGGTCTCATTGGATTTTTTAGCTTTTATTTTGTGAGAATAAATTTCTCCACAACATTTATCAAAAATAAAAAGCTATGATTAGGTATAACTTTGGAGGTAAAAATAATATGAAAAACTTAGTGAAATATAAAGAGAATAAAATCACCAATCTGTACACTTAATGTATGAATTTTATTGTATGTAAATGAAGCTTTAATACAACTTACAAACCAAAAAGTAAATGAGATGGAGGTTACTATAGTACACAGACTAGTCTGAGAAGACTTCATCAAAAGAGAACATTTTTTCTGATCATATTTAATCTCTAATCCTTTTATTTCAGTTCCAGAGATTAGGGTGTGAACATTTACTCCACCCTTTTGCCTTACTCTCTACCTTCTCTTCCAACCAAAAAGCATGGTGGGAGAGAAGCCCTCTTATTCCCAAATTGTGGAAAGCAAGCTGGAGGTAAACTCCTTCATTGTCTAATAAGTTTCCCTCACCATCCCCTGCAAGAGAAAAAGAGTAACTTTTATTGCCTGCCAGAGTTCTGTGATTCATTCTTATTTATAATTAACAACCTGCATGTTTCCAAAAGGTATCCCACATTAAAAAAAACACCAAATAAGAAACAATATACTGTCGGTGGGATTGTATAGTACCATACCTTTCGAAGGGTACTTTGAAATTCTTTTGTCTCAGAAATTACATGGCTAGTCATCTATCTTCACAAATTTATTCACTTAACAATTATTGAACACTCACTATGTGCTAGACACTGAGCTAAACACTGAAGAGACAGTGGTAAATAACTCAGTATTAAGGCCTCATGGGGTTGTTATGTCACAGTAGGCAGTGATACTATAAAAACAGCATCAGGTAGTCATCAGTGCTCTGAAGGAAACTACAGAACAGTTGTGTTCACTTCATTGCTTCGTTCATAATTATTCATAACATAAATATGCATGACATGCATTATTGTTCATACATTTCATATGTATCAAAGAATGCATAACAAAATAAAAGAGAAAACAGGGTGAGGGGACAAGAGTGATGGGAGTAAAAGGAAAATGCCACTATTTCTTGGGTAAACAGCCAGGGAACTTTTCTCTGATAAGATAACATGTCAGAAAGGCATGAAGCATGTCAGAAGGTGAGCCGCATAGAGCTCTGGGGCAACAGCCTTCCCAATGGAGGCAATGGAAAATGCAAAGGTTCTGAGGCAGAAAGGGGCTTGGCATGTTCAAGGGATCATGAAAAAGTCAGTGTGGCTGGAATGGAGTGAGCAATGGGAAACATGATCGTCATGGAGGTGGCAGGTAGCCATTTTCTGAAGGCCACTGTAGACCATGGTAAGGAAGTTAGACTCTACCTAACAAAGATGGGAAGACATTGAAATGTACCGAATAGGAATTCCGAGCCAAGATGGCCGAATAGGAACAGTTCTGGTCTACAGCTCCCAGCGTGAGCAACGCAGAAGACGGTTGATTTCTGCATTTCCATCTGAGGTACCAGGTTCATCTCACTAGGGAGTGCCAGACAGTGGGCGCAGGTCAGTGGGTGCGCGCACTGTGCGCGAGCTGAAGCGGGGCGAGGCATTGCCTCACTTGGGAAGCGCAAGGGGTCAGGGAGTTCCCTTTCTGAGTCAAAGAAAGGGGTGACGGACGGCACCTGGAAAATCGGGTCACTCCCACCTGAATACTGCGCTTTTCCGACAGGCTTAAAAAACGGCACACCACGAGATTATATCCCGCACCTGGCTCGGAGGGTCCTACGCCCACGGAGCGTCGCTCATTGCTAGCACAGCAGTCTGAGATCAAACTGCAAGGCGGCAGCGAGGCTGGGGGAGGGGCGCCCGCCATTGCCCAGGCTTGATTAGGTAAACAAAGCAGCTGGGAAGCTCGAACTGGGTGGAGCCCACCACAGCTCAAGGAGGCCTGCCTGCCTCTGTAGGCTCCATCTCTGGGGGCAGGGCACAGACAAACAAAAAGACAGCAGTAACCTCTGCAGACTTAAATGTCCCTGTCTGACAGCTTTGAAGAGAGCAGTGGTTCTCCCAGCACGCAGCTTGAGATCTGAGAACGGGCAGACTGCCTCCTAAAGTGGGTCCCTGACCCCTGACCCCCGAGCAGCCTAACTGGGAGGCACCCCCCAGCAGGGGCACACTGACACCTCACACGGCAGGGTATTCCAACAGACCTGCAGCTGAGGGTCCTCTCTGTTAGAAGGAAAACTAACAAACAGAAACGACATCCACACCAAAAACCCATCTGTACATCATCATCATCAAAGACCAAAAGTAGATAAAACCACAAAGATGGAGAAAAAACAGAACAGAAAAACTGGAAACTCTAAAACGCAGAGCGCCTCTCCTCCTCCAAAGGAACGAAGTTCCTCACCAGCAACAGAACAAAGCTGGATGGAGAATGACTTTGACGAGCTGAGAGAAGAAGGCTTCAGACGATCAAATTACTCTGAGCTACGAGAGGACATTCAAACCAAAGGCAAAGAAGTTGAAAACTTTGAAAAAAATTTAGAAGAATATATCACTAGAATAACCAATACAGAGAAGTGCTTAAAGGAGCTGATGGAGCTGAAAACCAAGGCTCGAGAACTACGTGAAGAATGCAGAAGCTTCAGTAGCTGATTCGATCAACTGGAAGAAAGGGTATCAGCAATGGAAGATGAAATGAATGAAATGAAGTGAGAAGGGAAGTTTAGAGAAAAAAGAATAAAAAGAAATGAGCAAAGCCTCCAAAAAATATGGGACTATGTGAAAAGACCAAATCTACGTCTGATTGGTGTACCTGAAAGTGATGGGGAGAATGGAACCAAGTTGGAAAACACTCTGCAGGATATTATCCAGGAGAACTTCCCCAATCTAGCAAGGCAGGCCAACGTTCAGATTCAGGAAATACAGAGAACACCACAAAGATACTCCTCGAGAAGAGCAACTCCAAGACACATAATTGTCAGATTCACCAAAGTTGAAATGAAGGAAAAAATGTTAAGGGCAGCCAGAGAGAAAGGTCGGGTTACCCACAAAGGGAAGCCCATCAGACTAACAGCAGATCTCTCGGCAGAAACCCTACAAGCCAGAAGAGAGTGGGGGCCAATATTCAACATTCTTAAAGAAAAGAATTTTCAACCCAGAATTTCATATCCAGCCAAACTAAGCTTCATAAGTGAAGGAGAAATAAAATCCTTTACAGACAAGCAAATGCTGAGAGATTTTCTCACCACCAGGCCTGCCTTACAAGAGCTCCTGAAGGAAGCACTAAACATGGAAAGGAACAACCGCTACCAGCCGCTGCAAAATCATGCCAAAATGTAAAGACCATCGAGACTAGGAAGAAACCGCATCAACTAACGAGCAAAATCACCAGCTAACATCATAATGGCAGGATCAAATTCACACATAACAATATTAACTTTAAATGTAAATGGACTAAACGCTCCAATTAAAAGACATAGACTGGCAAATTGGATAAAGAGTCAAGACCCATCAGTGTGCTGTATTCAGGAAACCCATCTCATGTGCAGAGACACACATAGGCTCAAAATAAAAGGATGGAGGAAGATCTACCAAGCCAATGGAAAACAAAAAAAGGCAGGGGTTGCAATCCTAGTCTCTGATAAAACAGACTTTAAACCAACAAAGATCAAAAGAGACAAAGAAGGCCATTACATAATGGTAAAGGGATCAATTCAACAAGAAGAGCTAACTATCTTAAATATATATGCACCTAATACAGGAGCACTCAGATTCATAAAGCAAGTCCTTAGAGACCTACAAAGAGACTTAGACTCCCACACAATAATAATGGGAGATTTTCACACCCCACTGTCAACATTAGACAGATCAACAAGACAGAAGGTTAACAAGGATATCCAGGAATTGAACTCAGCTCTGCACCAAGAGGACCTAATAGACATCTACAGAACTCTCCACCCCAAATCAACAGAATATACATTTTTTTCAGCACCACACCACACCTATTCCAAAATTGACCACATAGTTGGAAGTAAAGCTCTCCTCAGCAAATGTAAAAGAACAGAAATGATAACAAACTGTCTCTCAGACCACAGTGCAATCAAACTAGAACTCAGGATTAAGAATCTCACTCAAAACCGCTCAACTACATGGAAACTGAACAACCTGCTCCTGAATGACTACTGGGTACATAACGAAATGAAGGCAGAAATAAAGATGTTCTTTGAAACCAACGAGAACAAAGACACAACATACCAGAATCTCTGGGACACATTCAAAGCAGTGTGTAGAGGGAAATTTATAGCACTAAATGCCCACAAGAGAAAGCAGGAAAGATCTAAAATTGACACCCTAACATCACAATTAAAAGAACTAGAGAAGCAAGAGCAAACACATTCAAAAGCTAGCAGAAGGCAAGAAATAACTAAAATCAGAGCAGAACTGAAGGAAATAGAGACACAAAAAACCCTTCAAAACATTAATGAATCCAGGAGCTGGTTTTTTGAAAGGATCAACAAAATTGATAGACCACTAGCAAGACTAATAAAGAAAAAAAGAGAGAAGAATCAAATAGATGCAATAAAAAATGATAAAGGGGATATCACCACCGATCCCACAGAAATACAAACTACCATCAGAGAATACTACAAACACCTCTATGCAAATAAACTAGAAAATCTAGAAGAAATGGATAAATTCCTCAACACATACACTCTCCCAACACTAAACCAGGAAGAAGTTGAATCTCTGAATAGACCAATAACAGGAGCTGAAATTGTGGCAATAATCAATAGCTTACCAACCAAAAAGAGTCCAGGACCAGATGGATTCACAGCCGAATTCTACCAGAGGTACAAGGAGGAACTGGTACCATTCCTTCTGAAACCATTCCAATCAATAGAAAAAGAGGGAATCCTCCCTAACTCATTTTATGAGGCCAGCATCATTCTGATACCAAAGCCGGGCAGAGACACAACAAAAAAAGAGAATTTTAGACCAATATCCTTGATGAACATTGATGCAAAAATCCTCAATAAAATACTGGCAAAACGAATCCAGCAGCACATCAAAAATCTTATCCACCATGATCAAGTGGGCTTCATCCCTGGGATGCAAGGCTGGTTCAATATACGCAAATCAATAAATGTAATCCAGCATATAAACAGAGCCAAAGACAAAAACCACATGATTATCTCAATAGATGCAGAAAAAGCCTTTGACAAAATTCAACAGCCCTTCATGCTAAAAACTCTCAATAAATTAGGTATTGATGGGACGTATTTCAAAATAATAAGAGCTATCCATGACAAACCCACAGCCAATATCATACTGAATGGGCAAAAACTGGAAGCATTCCCTTTGAACACTGGCACAAGACAGAGATGCCCTCTTTCACCACTCCTATTCAACATAGTGTTGGAAGTTCTGGCCAGGGCAATCAGGCAGGAGAAGGAAATAAAGGGTATTCAATTAGGAAAATAGGAAGTCAAATTGTCCCTGTTTGCAGACGACATGATTGTATATCTAGAAAACCCCATCGTCTCAGCCCAAAATCTCCTTAAGCTGATAAGCAACTTCAGCAAAGTCTCAGGATACAAAATCAATATACAAAAATCACAAGCATTCTTATACACCAACAACAGACAAACAGAGAGCCAAATCATGAGTGAACTCCCATTCACAATTGCTTCAAAGAGAATAAAATACCTAGGAATCCAACTTACAAGGGATGTGAAGGACCTCTTCAAGGAGAACCACAAACCACTGCTCAACGAAATAAAAGAGGATACAAACAAATGGAAGAACATTCCATGCTCATGGGTAGGAAGAATCAATATCGTGAAAATGGCCATACTGCCCAAGGTAATTTACAGATCAATGCCATCCCCATCAAGCTACCAATGACTTTCTTCACAGAATTGGAAAAAACTACTTTAAAGTTCATATGGAACCAAAAAAGAGCCCGCATCGCCAAGTCAATCCTAAGCCAAAAGAACAAAGCTGGAGGCATCACACTACCTGACTTCAAACTATACTACAAGGCTACAGTAACCAAAACAGCATGGTACTGGTACCAAAACAGAGATATAGATCAATGGAACAGAACAGAGCCCTCAGAAAGAACGCCGCATATCTACAACTATCTGATCTTTGACAAACGTGAGAAAAACAAGCAATGGGGAAAGGATTCCCTGTTTAATAAATGGTGCTGGGAAAACTGGCTAGCCATATGTAGAAAGCTGAAACTGGATCCCTTCCTTACACCTTATACAAAAATCAATTCAAGATGGATTAAAGACTTAAACGTTAGACCTAAAACCATAAAAACCCTAGAAGAAAACCTAGGCTTTACCATTCAGGACATAGGCATGGGCAAGGACTTCATATCTAAAACACCAAAAGCAATGGCAACAAAAGCCAAAATTGACAAATGGGATCTAATTAAACTAAAGAGCTTCTGCACAGCAAAAGAAACTACCATCAGAGTGAACAGGCAACCTACAAAATGGGAGAAAATTTTCGCAACCTACTCATCTGACAAAGGGCTAATATCCAGAATCTACAATGAACTCAAACAAATTTACAAGAAAAAAACAAACAACCCCATCAAAAAGTGGGCGAAGGACATGAACAGACACTTCTCAAAAGAAGACATTTATGCAGCCAAAAAACACATGAAAAAATGCTCACCATCACTGGCCATCAGAGAAATGCAAATCAAAACCACAATGAGATACCATCTCACACCAGTTAGAATGGCAATCATTAAAAAGTCAGGAAACAACCGGTGCTGGAGAGGCTGTGGAGAAATAGGAACACTTTTACACTGTTGGTGGGACTGTAAACTAGTTCAACCATTGTGGAAGGCAGTGTGGCGATTCCTCCGGGATCTAGAACTGGAAATACCATTTGACCCAGCCATCCCATTACTGGGTATATACCCAAAGGACTATAAATCATGCTGCTATAAAGACACATGCACACGTATGTTTATTGCGGCATTATTCACAATAGCAAAGACTTGGAACCAACCCAAATGTCCAACAATGATAGACTGGATGAAGAAAATGTGGCACATATACACCATGGAATACTATGCAGCCATAAAAAATGATGAGTTCATGTCCTTTGTAGGGACATGGATGAAATTGGAAATCATCATTCTCAGTAAACTATCGCAAGAACAAAAAACCAAACACCACATATTCTCACTCATAGGTGGGAATTGAACAATGAGATCACATGGACACAGGAAGGGGAATATCACACTCTGGGTACTGTTGTGGGGTGGGGGGAGGGGGGAGGGATAGCATCGGGAGATATACCTAATGCTAGATGACGAGTTAGTGGGTGCAGCGCACCAGCATGGCACATGTATACATATGTAACTAACCTGCACAATGTGCACATGTACCCTAAAACTTAAAGTATAATAAAAAAAAAAGAAAGGTACCAAGTAGGCTTATGCTTTAAAATGATCATGCACTGGCTGCTGTTTGGAAAACAGACGATAGGAAGACAAAGGTATAGAAATGCACAGACATAGGTACAATGATGGTCACTGTCTCTGTATTTAAAGAGATGAAAAATAAAAACAGCTGAAATATCCACCAATGAGAGTAGGTTAAAGAAATGATGTAACATGCAACCATCTCCTGGACCACTGGGCAGCCCTTCAAAGGAATGAGGCAGAACTATGTGTAATATTTGGAAAGATGCCTATTACATGCTGTTAAGTGAACAAAAAGCCAGTTGTAAAACAAAATGGTAAGATCCCTCTTTTACTAAAAAGAAGAAAACATGTAGAGCACCACACACACACACCCTTTTTTGTGGAAGCATAGAAAATATTAAGCGAGTAATTTATGGTAGACAGAATAATGGAACCCCCAAATATATTCACACCCTAATCCCAGAAACTGTGAATACGTGACCTTATTCACCGTAAATATGTGACCTTATTCAAAGTAAAAAGGACTTTGCAGATATGATTAAGGGTGTGAACCTTATGATAGGGAGAGCATGCTGGTTCACTTAGGTGGATCCAATCAAAGCACATGAGTCCTTAAGAGAGATAAACTTCCCTCGCTGAATCAGAAAGATGGCAGCATCAGAAAGATTTGATGCATTGTTCCTTGTTCTGAGATGTAGGAGGCTGTGTGAAAGAACCACAGGGAGGCCTTCAATAATTAAGGGCAGCCCCTGCAAGACAGCCAGCAATGAAAGGGGGACCTCAGTTCTGCAACAGCAAGGCACTAAGTTCTGCCAACATCTGAATGAGCTTGGAATCCAATTCTTCCCTAAATCCTCCAGAAAAGAACACAGCCCTGCCCATAATTTGACTTTAGCCCTGTAAGACCCATAGCTGACTTATGATCTCTAGAACTGCAATCTGTATTGTTTTAAGCCACTAAGTTTGTGGTGATTTGTTAAAGCAGCAATAGAAAACCAATAATACGTAACCTCAGCCAGCAGGATCTCACAGCAAAAGAGGATCCCAAGAAAAAATTAGAGAAATTAGATTGGTTAGATCTTATTCCTGGCCCAAACCCCAGAGTCTCTGATTCAGCAGGTCTGGGGTGGGGCTTCAGAGTTTGCGTTTCTAACAAGTTCCTAGGGGATGGAGGTGCTGCTGGTCCAGGACTACAGTTTGAGTACTGTTGATCAAGAGAATAGGGTCTAGAACCATACCTACTGGAACCAAATTTTGGTTCCACTGCATACTCACTTTTGACCTTAAGCAAATTATCTTTGCCCTAGTTTTTTCAACCATTAAGGGGATGGTAATACTAGTTTCTACCTCATGAGCTTATTCTGAGACTAAATTAGTTAATATATGTAAAATATTTAGAAAGCTGCCAGCACATATTTAGAACTAGGTATATTTTAACCATTATTACTTTACTGTGTACTTATTTGACCTGTAATCTGTTTTTTTACAATCAAATAGAATCTCTCTTTGAAAGTCATTCATATCCTTTTCCAAGTGCCTTCCCTTTTTCTCACTTTCTCTGACATCCTATTAACCTTTAGACCAAAACCTTCATAGATAGACCTCTTTCTTCAGCAAACCTGGCCCTCACTGGGGAAATAAAAGCCTCCAGCTACAAAACAACAACTGCCCTTTCTCCTTTCCTGCACCTTCTCCTTCACTCTTTTTCCCATCAGTTGAAGGGGAAATGCTTCAGGAAAAGGGAACTGCTACAACAGCAAATCTTTCTTGCTCAGCCTTCCCTTTCAATACTTTAATAATTGAGCTGGTCTGCTCTACTCTGAGTGAGCTCTAGAATTATTGTTCTCCTGAGAATTTGACGAGGCAATACTGAAATAACAAATGTAATTTACTTCAACTTTCGCTAAACAAAACAAAATGGTTTATGCATCATCACGTCGCGTCTTTTTGATAAGCCACCTCTACTCATGATCAAAAATATGCGGCTGATAAATAAATTCAATCAGCAGACAAGGCTCTTGTAGCTCTTTAAATTGTCAATCTCTATTGACAATAGCAGCAATTTCAGCTAAACACTGAGGAGGCCAGCAGGCCACTAACTCCCAGCCTCCGCTCCCACTTGCAAACAGAGCCCCACTGTGGCTCTGCAAGCCCTTCGCCCACACTCTCACCTACCCGGCCACCAATAGGCAGCTTCTCAGCCTAATTGTACCTTTATCTGCTACAACTTTGAACTCAGCGAAATTTATACCAGGTGTTGCAAATTTTTTACTGGTAATGAGTTAATTTACACAGATGGCTGTCACTTCTCCATTTCTCCAGCTCCTTTGCTGATAAGGCAGGAAACAGCTTGACTGTGCAGAGCCCGTGGAGCCCAGAAAAGTCGGGGATGGGGAGTGGTCCCTGACCAAATGGACACGCCCTGGCTCCAGAGCTCTGCCCTGGCCCCCAGAGCAAGCCAAGCCTTACCCACCGACCCTGCCAACTCTAGCCCAGGACTTTTAGTTCCCTGCTAAAAGAGCTCTTACACAACTGAAACGAGACCAACCAACCCACTAGTTGGGAGGGCAGGGGGTGGCAAGAGAGATGTGATTATAAGTACCTTTTAAATCCCAGGAAATTCATCTTTTCAATTGCTTTTGTTGGTTTTTCAACCCGGAAGGCCTCAAATGCGTGCTAAAGCATCTTGTGAAAGTGCTAACGGGGGATGCAGCGCCTCAGAGTTAGATACTGCCAAATAAGGCACCCTCCTCACTGTGTGAAGCCCTCTGGGTTAGTGGCTCTGCAGGCAAGGCGGCAGCAAGCGCCCAGGGCTGGGCTGGGACTGTCTCCCAGCCTGCCTATATAATGGAAAACTGTATCAATAATAATAGGTAACATTATATACAATGTTATATGTAATCATAATGGCACCAAATATAATTCACGGTTAACATTTCGCATTCAATGCCTTCACCTGGTGGATTTCGAATCTGACCAAGAATTCCAATCACCTACAGAGCGTTTCCAACTCTTGAAGCCCAGGTTACACTCCATACTACTCAAATCGGATCTCTAAAGGCAGGAGCCAGTGGGCAGTGTTTGTTAAAGATGATTCCAGGTGATTCCAATGTACAGCAAAGTTTAGGAACTGCTACCTGAACCCAAAGGAGAGACATCAGCAACCCTGGACAGGCAAGCAGGAGCTAATTTTTTGAGTTGAGCCAACTCTCCACATAAAGTGCCATCCCCTAGCCTCTAGCCTGTTCCATCCCTGCTGGTACCGTGTTTGTTTTCTTTTAATTTTTTGAGGGCAGGGGATGCCAAGGTCCCCCAGGCATATAATGTCTTTCATGAATAATGTCTTAATGTCTTTAAGAAACTATGCTCTACAAGCCATACTACTAGCAGCCTGGGTCACTGCCAGCCTCCCATTACCCATGCTGGACCCAATCAATCTTAGCCACACCCTGTCCCTCATCTTTCCCCTCCCCTTGCAGTCCATGACCATCCTGTTCCCACCACAACAAAGCATTCCCTGAATCCCGGCTCCAACTGTCCACCTCCTAGCCATCAATGCAGGCACAACCCGAGTGCCATTCCCTCCATGAAATCTATGTTGATCTTCTCTCCAAGTTGTCTCTACAAATCTGAGGGTCAGGTCTATAGATTTAATGAAAAGAGCATCACACATAGATCAGTAGACCTGGATGTGAGATTTCACCACTGTAACCGAAATGCTAGTTGTTGAGTCAATTTTATTTTCCCCTTCTTCCTTAAAACTATCCTTGGACTGCCTAACACTGTGCTGATTTTACTGGGAAAAAACCCAAACCTCTACCTTGATCCACCAGGTGATGTTATTAACAGCCAAACCTAACTTGAACTGGAACAAGTAGATGCTGGTTGTGAGATCCTGGACAGGCCATTGTTCTTCTGAACCTTAGTTTCTTCAACTATAAAATAGGAAGAAAATGAGCTGTGAGGATTATTTAAAATCACCTAACAGTTAGTTGAACTTGTCTGTATCTTAATTAATTGAATAAAAACTTCTCACTTCGTAGACAATGGAACTGAGCACTTAAAGGGGAAGTGCTTTGCTCAAGGACACAAAGAAAATTAGTAGCAGGTGCAGGAATTAAAACCAGAGCCCCTTTGATTTGGAACTCAACTTAAATCAACAGAACTCAGGCTTAACTACTTGAAAATCATTGCAAGCAGTAATGAGAAAATATTGATTTAAAAATCATGTTAGTAGATGATCAAAAACAGAAGCTATTTAGTCCATTAGGAATTGCTTTTAAGCTGGGAGGGTGTGGGAAAGATCTTATAGAAAGATAACCAACAGTCAATTATGCCCACACTAGGTATGGAATAGTTTATTCTCCACTCATGTGAAATGCTATCTTTACAAACACCCACCCACACACACACACACACACAATCTCACGGATCTATTTGTCTATTCCTGTGCCAATAAGTCATTGTGCTGATTAATGGCAAGACGAGCCCCTCCTACCATGTTCCTTTAAAAAGTTTTATTCGCTTTTGTTGCTTTCTCTTTCTAATGAATTCTAGAATCAGCTTCTCAAATTCTATAAAACATCTCACTGTGATATTAATTGGGTTGCATTACATTTATAATTTCTGGAGAACTGACATCTTTACTATAATAATAGTGCTTATTGTGTACCAGGTATGATTCTATTTTCCCTGCCAGGTGCCAAGTAAATTATCTAAGCATTTGGGGTATATTTTCAAAAATATAGACATGTATTTATATTTTATTTTATTTCTTATGTCAAAAAATTAAAACAGAGATTCTTGCCCTCAAGAAGCTTATATTTTGGCAGAGGTAGTCAGTCAATAAATAAGAAATACGGCCTGGTGCGGTGGCTCACGTCTGTAATCCCAGCACTTTGGGAGGCCAAAGCGGGAGGATCACTTGAGTCCAGGAGTTTGAGGCCAGCCTGGGCAACATAGGGAGATCCCATCTCTACAAAAAGTTTAAAAATTAGCTGGACGTGGTGGCATATGCCTGTGGTCCCAGCTACTTGGGAGGCTGAGGTGGGAAGATCGCTTGAGCCCAGGAGATCAAGGTTGCAATGAGTGATGATCACACCACTGCACTCCAGCCTGGGTAATAGCAAGACCCTGCCTCAAAACAAACAAACAAAAATAAGTAAATGATATCATATGCTAGAGGGTAGTTAGTGCTATAGAAAATAAAATGAGGAGGGAAAGTAGGATACAGGGAATCAGGAGAGCAGGGTGCAGGTCACACAGCCTTATATAGGTTAATCATGGTAGAATAACTCATTGATTCCTCAGTGAACCTTAACTCTATGGCTACTGACACTTTACAGGGAAATAAAATTGAGGCACAAAGAGGTTTAAGTAATAGGCCAAAGTCACACTGCTAGGAAGTGACAGAGCCAGGATTTGAAGTTGAGCAGGCTGGGCTCCAGATTCCTGGAGCCAGAGTCAATATTCCTAACCCTACACTGCATGCCATCCAGGTTCCAGGTATGTTTCTCAATTTCCATCCATCTTTATATCCATCAGCAAAATATAACATTTTTCATTTAGTATGGCACATTTCTTGTTCAGTTTATTTTTATGTATTTATACTATTTCTTGCCATTGCAATGTGAAATATTTTCACCATGACATTTTCTAATCAGCTTTTGCTACTGTATGGAAAAGCTATTGATTTTTATGTGGTAATCAGCTATCTCTGAGTGCTTATAAGTTCCAGTAGTCTTCCGGTTGGTTTTCTTGGATTTTATAATTAGAAACACATAAAATAACAGTTTGCCTCTTCCTTTCCATTATGTTTTTATATTTCATTTTTGCTCCTGCAGTTCTAAGTATTTTCAAATTTTCACTGTGATTCCAGTTTTGACCCATTGGTTATTTTTAAGTGTGTTAATTTTCAAATATGTGGTAATTTTCTAGTTATCTTTTGTTATTGATTTCTAGCTTATTTCTACTATGGTCAGACATTCTAATCTATGCGATTTCAGCCCTTTGAAATTTGTTGAGCCTTGCTTTATGGTCCAATAATGGTTGATTTTGGTAAATATTCCATGTGCAATTGAAAAAAAATTCCGCCATTGTTAAATGCTGTGTTCTATAAATGTCAATGAAGTCAAATGTGTTAACCATGTTCACATGTTCTATATACTTACTGATTTTTTTAATCTGCTTATTCCTTTAATGGTTAATCTAGAGATTGTAACATGCATTGTTGTTTTTCAAATTAGCACAAGTGTATGCAGGGACCTTAAAACATTCCAATTCCATTTACTCCCTCCTGCCACTTGTGGTATTTGTTGTTTTTATAAAATGTTTTTTTTAATTGTTATTTTTGTGTAAACAGAAGCAATATTTATTCAGATTTTTCCATATAGTAATAATTACCTTTTCTATTGCTCTTTATTCTTTCTTGCATCTACTTGGGATAATTTTTCTGCTGCCTGAAAAGCAGTATTTAGGTATTTCTTTTAGTGCAGGTGTCCTGGTGATGAATTCCCTTAATTACTTTTTATTTGAAAATGTCTGTGTCTTCCCTTCATTTGTTAAAGATAACTTAATGAATAAAGAATTCCAGGTCGGTGGTTATTTTCTTTCACTATTTTAAAGATGTCATTTTATTTGCTTCTGGCTTCTACTGTTTCTTTGACAGGTCAATATCAATCTCACAGTTTCTCCTTTGAAAAGGATATGTCCTTTTTCTTCTGGCTGGTTTTAAGATTTTCTGTTTGTCTTTGGTTTTTCAGCAGTTTGACTATAATGTATACAAGAGAAACCATGCTTGAATTTTATAGGACTTTCATAATCTTTGTTTCAATATGTTTCATCAATTTTAGAAAATTCTCAGTCATTATCTACTTAAACATCACTTCTCTCTTCTTCTAGGATTCCAGTCTCACATATGTTAGACTCTGTCACACTATGTCATATTATCTTACGTTCATTTCTGTATTTTTATTCTTTTGTCCCTTTTGTGCTTCAGTCTAAAATTTTTTCTTCAAAATTATATTTCTATTCACTAATTTTCTTTTCAGTTTTATTTAATTTGTTCTTAAATCTATCCATTGAGCTCTTAATTTATTGCTTTCCATGAGTCTGTCAAAAGCTCAGCTCAGCTGCTTGGCCTCTCATCCACTACTTTTCAGAATCAATAATTTCTTAGTAGGGTAAAGCAGCATAAAATACCAGACTCCCCTCCCTGGGCTTCTGTCTGGGACCTTGGCCCTGAAAATCCTCCCTGCCTTGTTAGTTCCCTGATGACTCCAAAGAAGTGCTTTGAAATATTATTATTGAGCTTCATTCACTGTCTTCAGCAGGAGGATTGGTATAAAGCAACCTATTCCACCACTGCTAAAGGTGGGATTTCTTCATTATTTTGGGAAACAGCATAGTACTTACAAGGCTTTGAACTGTGTCTGGCATGACAGAATGTACTCAATAAGTTTATGTTATTATTGTACACAAATGAACCCATAGTTCCTTTTCTGTGTGTTATCTTGATTGTTTTTAGTATCATTATTTTGCCGGCTTTGTATAATGGGTTAGTTGACATTCCATATTTCTCTATCTTCTAAAACTGTTCATATAATATAGAGATTATCTGTTTCTTGAAGATTTGATATAACTCACCCATAAAATTACTTGAGCCTACTATTGTTTTTAGGGGCAAACTTTTGGTTACCTTTTTAATTTCTTCTATAATTATTAATTATCTCTGTATAGGAATTATTCTAAAACTATATCAGAAATTCAGACATTATTCTTATTCATATTTTCCATCTCTTAAAAAATTTACAAAATTACCAGTAGAGGTTAAATACAATATTTTAACAAAGTTTCTTCTGGGTCTGTGGTTATACCTCATTTATCATTTCTAATGTAATTTGTGTTTTTTCTGGCTTTTTAAGTCACATTTGACTAATTTTATTTAATTTTTAGGAAAAAAAAGCTTTTGGTTTTATGGATCAAGTCTACTGTTTTGTTGTTATTGTTGTGAGAAGGTACATGTCTCACTTTGGGGCTGAGGTTGTGTTAGCCCATATGCATCACTATAAAGGAATACCTGAGGGTGGGTAATTTGTAAAGGAAAGAGATTTATTTTGGCTCACAGTTCTGCAGGCTGTACAGGAAGCATGGTACCAGCATCTGCTTCTGATGAGGGCCTCAGGAAGCTTCCAGTCATGGTGGAAGGTGAAGGGGGAGCCAGCGTATCACATGGTAAGAGAGAAAGCAAGGGACGGGGAGGTGCCACACTCTTTCAAACAACCATCCCTCTCATGAACTCAGAGAAAAAACTCACTCATTACAGAGAGGAGAGCACCAAACCATTCATGAGGGATCCACCCCCATGACCCAACACCAGGCCCCACTTCCAACATTGGAGATTATATTTCAGCATGAGATTTCGAGGGGACAAAACATCCAAACCATATCAGATAATTTAAAGCTCTCTCTTGCCCTGTCTTGGCAACATATAAGTTTACATGTTTCAGGTGGATTAAGATAGATTAGAGAAATCCAGCTTCCATCAGATTTTGTGTAAGAGAGAAGTGTAAGAGAGAGAATTTGAGCAGCCACTGAGATTTCAGGGTTTATTTGTAATTGCAGCACAATCTAGCCAATTCTGATTAATGCAGGAATTAAAATTTTTGGTACCTTAAAATATGGTCAATTTTTAAAATTTCCCATGGATATTTTAGGTGGATTTGTATTCTTTGTTTGTACTTGTGTGATTCTTTTAGTTGTCTTGAGTTTGTTTAAATTTTAAAATATCTTTCCAGCATATTAAGAAATTTAGGATAGGAAAGGACACGCACCTAGCCTCCATTGTGATTTCAACTCTACCTTTTGTCTAGTTATATTCTCAAAGAGTTTGCATTTTGTAGCTGGAAATGGGTAATTTTAAAGAAAATATTTATTAAAAGTCATGTAGGCTTTGTAATTTTAGTAATAACTAAGAAAGCATAAGCTTTATAACCATAAGCTCTTTATTTAAAAGTCAGAAGTTGGTGGATTATAAACATGAAATTCCTTCCTCCATCCCCTCATCACTGCCTTCAACTATGTCCTTGTCTCCTAATGACATCTCAGGTAGAGCTCATAGCATTCAGGACGCTGGCAACAAGAAAACAACCCACTGCAGGCTAATTCAATAAATTGCAAATTTTAATTTCAAAGCATTTCTTCTCAATCAAGTGCCGGCCAGGCTTCTCTCAGTACAACTTGCAATGGAAAAGTGGCTTGCCCTCTTGACAACTACCCGCTTCCTACTCTGGTTGTCCATTTCTACTAGAGTGTGCAATGGTTTCTTAGAAAGTCCGTGAAGTATGTGGCCCTATTTAGCCCATGGAGTTATTCAGAAGCTATCACTGGCAGAATTGGTTCTCTAGCAATGGGAACAATAAGGCAGGAAAGGTTTTATTCACCACACTTTAATTATATAAATCCCAAAGTAGTCATTAAGGGTATAAAGAAGTTTCACTCTTTTGAAAGACCACAATAATCCAATGTTGGTTTAAAAAAAGGCAGGGGTTGGGGAATCTGGTATTCATACTACTGTTGATAGACATATTGAATTCCTTCATTTGCAGTTTAATAAATATTTATTATGTAGGCAGCAGTTCCTGATAGAGCTTAAGATTCTGGAGAACAGAAATGTCAATACATACAAGGTCCCTGCCTTTGAGAACCTTACATTCTAGCTGGGGAAAGACATACCAGAAACAAGTAAATCAATAAGATATTTTTAATTTGTGGTAAGTGATATGAAAGAAATAAAACTGGGGAATGTGATAGAAAGTTAAGGGGAGCATTAGAGGCACTGTGGCATTGTCAGGAACACTACTCTGAGAAAGGATATTTGAGCTAAGACCTGAAGCATAACAAGGAGCCAGGCATTCAAAGGACCTGGGAAAAAGCCTCAAGCAGAGAACAAAAATTATAATGTAATATTGAGATAGCAATGCACTTTAAACTAAAAAAAAACAAAGGAGGCCCAACTGGGTTTCAGTTCCCTGAGGGAGATAGTTGACAAGTTAGGGGGCAGCTAGATCATGTAGAGCCTTATAGTTATGGGGATAATTCTGAATTTTTTTCCAAATGCTACAGGAAGTCTTTAAAGTATTTCAGTAGGGGATCAAAATGGACATGGACTGGTTTTCAGTTTTTGAAGGAAAATAGAATGTGAGGAAGCAAGGTAGGAGGCAGGGAGCTCAGCACAGAAGCTGTGGCCATGGTTCAAGCAACACAGTATGGTGGCTGGGACCAGGGTGGTGGCATTGGCAATGTGGAGAAGAGGTAGAACTAATATGACACACTGATATACTGGCCATGGAGGATGAGAAATGACAGGAATCAAGGATGATTCCAAAGTTTTGAGTTTAAACAGCTGGGTTGATGGTGGTACCATTTACTGAAGTGTAAGACTGCAGAGGATTGAGATGGTGGTAGAGGAATCAGTTCGGTTTTCGATATAGTAAGTTTGAGAAGCCTACAAGATATTTAAGTGGAAACTCAGGTAGGCAGTTTGAATAGAGTTATAAATTTTGTAGCCATATACAAAAGTGATATTTAAATCTGTGGCAATAGACGAAATCATATAAGATTAAAGTGTAGTAAGAGAGTTCAGAATCTAAGGCCTGAACTATGGGGCAGTCCAACATGACTGTAACATATTCTATTCGAATTTTTGTGTAGTAGCTTACAGAAAAAAAGATGATATCTGTAAAGAAGGAAACTTGGGGAATTAACTCAGTATTAGGCTGTGATATATTCATATAATGAGAGAATTATTTTAATTATCCACCCCATTACATGTGGCCACCACAGAATGCTATAACTGTCACTCCAACAGTTAGAATGCTAAATACAAGGCAAAGCCTTTTTACATGCTGCAGAGAGGTAAGAGAAAGGGTTAAATTTTTTTTTTTATTAAAGCCCAAAGCAGAACAAATAAAAGATTGGAATTTGTAACAAAGATGAGTAAGATACCTAATTGTACCCAGGTGTTTGTAGTTCCCTAAATTTTGCTTTAAATTATATCCTATTTATATTTAATGTTTATGTTAATACTAGTTACTGTTTATGCATAGCTGATTTAGTAAAGTGTTCACTCTCTATGGAAAAAAATGTAAATTAGTGGAAAATCATGATAATACTCTTTAATTCTGTTTATCGTGCAGAGCTGTTCATGATGTGATACTACAACCAAAACACACCTTCCACTTAGCAGCTTATTTAAATTGCAAGAAAACAGGGGTGAAATGAACAGTCTCTGGAATGTCAGTCTTGCATGGCAAAGGGTATACAGAGATTGCAAATACCTCTTAAGAGCTGGAAACCATTATTCTCAGAAAACTAACACAGGAACAGAAAACCAAACACCGCATGTTCTCACTCATAAGTGTGAGTTGAGCAATGAGAACACATGGACACAGGGAGGGGAACATCACACACGGGGGCCTGTAGCGGGATGGGGGGCTAGGGGAGGGATAGCATTAGGATAAATACCTAATGTAGATGACGGGTTGATGGGTGCAGCAAACCACCATGGCACATGTATACCTATGTAACAAACCTGCACGTTCTGCACACGTATCCCAGAACTTAAAGTGTAATAATAATAAAAAAAAAGAATAGCTACTAAAGGCTCCCCAACATGGAGAAGCACAGCCAAACTAGCAAGCATTAAAACAATTAGTCTCTTGGGGTAGAATCACTTTGCAAGCAACATGGATGTTTTTTACATATTTGCATAAGTAAATTATTGATTAGAAACAAACTTAACAGTCCAGCGCGGTGGCTAATGCTTGTAATCCCAGCACTTTGGGAGGCCAAGGTGGACAGAACTCTTGAGCCCAGGAGTTGGAGACCAGCCTGATCAACACGACAAAACCCCATCTTTACAAAAAATACCAAAATTAGCTGGGTGTAGTGGTGCTCACCTGTAGTCCTAGCTACTCAGGAGGCTGAGGAGGGAGGATCACTTGAGCCTGGGATTCAGAAGTTGCAGTGAGACGAGATCACCCCACTGCACTCCAGCCTGGGTGACAGGGCAAGACCCTGTGATATGGTTTGGCTCTGTGTCCCCACCTAAATCTCATTTTGTAGCTCCCATAATCCCCACGTGTTGTATGAGGGACCTGGGGGGAGATGATTGAACCATGCGGGTGGGTCTTTCCTATGCTGTTCTCGTGATAGTGAATGGGTCTCACGAGATCTGATGCTTTTAAAAACGGGAGTTTCTGTGCACAAGCCCTCTTTTTGCCTGCTGCCATTCACCTAAGATGTGACTTGCTCCGCCTTGACTTCCGCCATGATTGCGAGGCCTCCCCAGCCAGGTGCAACTGTAAGTTCATTAAACCTCTTTCTTTTGTAAATTGCCCAGTCTCAGGTATGTCTTTATCAGCAGCGTGAAAATGGACTAATACACCCTGTCAAAGAAAAAAAAAAAAAAACACCTTGTCTTACTTCTCCTATAAGTAAATTCCAAGCCAAGGAATGACAGGAATGGATGAATTAAATTAGGCATATCAATGTATTTCTTTAAGTGTTGAGTCCATCGCAATCCCAAATATCTATTTTTTCTGAGATTAGAAAAAAACATTTCTCTTATAAAAACTGTTGATAGGAGATTAGTGGTTAAATTGGAGGTGGATATAGTAAAAAACAAAAGAAAGTTCTTTAATATTTTTTTAATGTTTCAAAGAAGTAATTCTAGTACTAGTCACATTCTCATGGACTGGAAGGGTGGTTCAGACCATTTTCCATTTTTGTCATGGCTACTAGGAAACTCAAAACCAAATTGGAATTTAAATCACAACAATGATGTCAATCCCTTTGGTATCATTGCATATTTGAAATATTAGAAGCATGTTTCTTCTTCCATTACTTGACCCTCATTTTCTATTTTTGTTGTTGAGTAGGGAGTGGCATTTCAGAGAGCTAAAATGCCCACCTTATCTAGTCTGGAAACCTCAAGTGTTTAATTTTCTTCTCTCCATATATAAGTTTCCATGACAAAAGCTATTGGAGGTAGTGTGCTGGTCCCAGGTTACTCTGCACAGTGTGAAAGAAATGGCCAACAAGTATATTTAAAAATGCTCAATATCACTAATTATCAGGGAAATGCAAATCAAAACCACAATGAGATATCACCTCATATCTGTTAGAATGGCTACTGTATAAAAAAGATTAAAAATAAAAAAGACAGGCAAGGATACAGAGAAAGGGTAACACTTATGCACTGATTGTGGGGATATAAACTAGTACAGCCATTACAGAGAACAATATGGAGGTTCCTCAAAAAACAATGAATAGAACTACCATATGATCCAGCAATCCCATAACTAGGTATTTATCTAAAGGAAAGGAAATCAGTGTATCAAAGAGATATTGGCACCCCTGTGTTTACTGCGGTACCATTCACAATAGCCAAGATATGGAAGCAATTTAAGTGCCTTTCAAAGGATGAACTGATAAAGAAAACGTGATATATATATATATATACACACACACACACACACATATACACACAATGGAATACTATTCAGCCATAAAAAAGAATGAAATCCTGTTATTCATGGCAACATAGATGAGCCTGGAGGATGTTATGTTAAGTGAAATAAGCGAGGCACAGAAAGACAAATATAGCATGAGCTCACTCATATGTGCAATCTTACAAAGTTGATCTTACAGAAATAGAAATTGGAACAGAGGTTACTAGAGGCTGAGAAGAGTAGAGGGAAAGGGAGAGAATAAGGAGGGATTTGTTAAATGATACAAAATTTCAGCTAGATAGGAGGAATGAGTCTAGTATTCTATAGCATTGTTGTGTTATTATAGTTAGCAATGATATATCATATATTTTCAAAGAGCTAGAAGACAGGATATTGAATGCTCCCAATACAAAGAAATAATAAATGTTTGAGATGATGGATATGCTGATTACTCTGATCTGATCACTATACATTGTATGTATTAAAACATCGCTATGTACCCCATAAATATGTACAATTATTATGTGTCAATTAAAAATCAATTTTTAAAACATATAGAAAAAAAAGAAAGGCATGCTTACTTTTGGGGGGATTTCTCTATCAATGATGCACATGGCCACAAGTTGTAACCTAAGAGCTTGGGGTTAGTAATACTACGCTGTAGATCCAATATGGTTTACTGAAACCTAAAGTGAAGAACTTAGCAGAATCATTTCATTTACCTGAGTTTTTGAACAGATAACTTAAGGTTTTACTATTAAACAATGGTTGGTGTGAAGGTTTTTGTTACTGATTGAGAGCAGACACCTGTATGTTTTGAAAACCAGTCAAGAGGTTGGTAGAGGTGATGTTCTATTATGAAACTTCATTTTGAGAACCATGGTCGAGGTTGAAGTTTTACTCTTGGCCTGACTCTCTGCATTGCTGATCTCAACACTCACCTGAACCCCACCTCTTGCATTCCCCATCCCCTACATTCTTGCGCATGCACACACACACACACACACACACACACACACACACACACACACACACATACACACACACAAAACACATAACCCTATACTTCTTCACCTAGGGTTAAAGTTGGGAAATTTACATGGTTTTCTGGCACCAGCTCACACATCTATTTTCTGCCTTAGATTCTATCCAAATCAGGAGTGAAAGAAATTATGAGGAAGGCAGAAAGGGAATGGAGAAGCTAGTAGCTAAGGGCATGAAAAACAATAGAAGTAGTGGAAAGAGGAAACACAGAAAATGCCTCCGAAAGGGGATGGCGATGTGACTTAACAAAGAGAACACTGGATAAGGGCCTAGAGACCTGAAATTGAGTTTTAGCTTTGTCACGGTCCCCATTGTGACTTTGGACAAAGCTCTACCATTCTTTGGTGCTCAGTTTGCTTATTTGTAAAATGGGAATTATTTGTAAAATGGGAATTGTTTTTAATCCCTAATTTTTACTTTATGGCAGTGTTGTAAAATCCAACAAGATGACATGTGTGAAAATATTTTGCAAACCATCAAGAGCAAAACCTATCTAAGGCATTAGCGATGGGAGACTTAAATAGGAGCCACCATAATCAGAACAGAAATGGCAGTTATTTTTATCTTTTCCTTACATGTTCTTCATAACCCACTGTTATCATTTAGAAAATTCCTGTGATGTAGTCATCTAGCAGCCTCTGATTTTCTTTATCCTTTTCTCAGTTTCTACTTCAAGCTGATCTTTGTAGGCAAACATGCCCTGAGTACCTCTTCAGAAGGCAAAAACAAGAGAGATCTGATTACTAGATTACTTTGTGTTATGTTGCATAAGGACATATATTGGTAATAATCCCTTAATTGCATACAGTATATCCCTGGACACACATATATGATTAAATATATAAATGCAAATACATACATGCCCACGCTTGCCCATGCACACACCCACACACCCCACAGTGAATTCCTCACCCTCCTTTTTACACTTAGCATATCACACAATAAAGAGGTGACATGGTCCTTGGGAAAGAGAGCCTTGCCATCTAGGTCACGTTGTTAACTTGCTCACCCAGAGCTTATTTTACCCAATGAGATGCTCCACCGATTTCACATGTTCTGTTTCTATTTTAACATGAATTGAGGCAGAACTAAATCATCTTAAAGCATCTGTCGATAGGCAGTTATCCAGCCACTTAGTTTCATGTTCTTCAGAACCCAGTGTTATCATTTGGAATCATTTTGTGATCCATTTATATAACAGTCTCTGAGTTTTCCTTATCTTTCTTCCACTTTCTCCTTCAAACTGATCTTTGTAGGCAAACAGGCCCTGATGATCACTGATTTCATTGCGAACCAAAGCAAAGACAGGAGCCTGATTGTTCGATTACTTTGTGCCACATTTTATAAGGAAAAACTGATGTAAGAACCCCTTGGATTTATACAAAGTACTTTGAAAATACCCCAAGGCTAGTTATGTGATCATGGGTCTTACTTAATTTCCCTTTGTTTCATCTGTAAACTGGTGATAATATTCATGATGTAGTCAGTCAATTTGGGGTATGGTCATTCGAGCAATTAGAGATCAACTTAATCATGTTCTTATTAGCCCCCTTCTGTCTATCTCACCCATGAAGATATCATGAAGGGCTTTGTCAGATGCTGTGCCGAAATCCAGATACACTGTGTTCAACGTTTCCCTGGTCTACAAGGATAGTAAAGAACCCAATCAAAAATTTAAAGGAAAGAAAGAGAGGATGAAAATTAAATTGTTTGGAGTGATCTGTACTCCATAACCCCATGCTATCTCCTGCTGATGGTCACCTCACTCCACGAGTGCCCACAAAACTTGTATTTCCATTTGGACAGTTTGCCAGTAATGGACTTCAAACTCGCTGGTGGGTACTTTCTAAAAATGACTCTTGTCTCATATTTTTTTCTTTTTTTTATTATACTTTAAGTTTTAGGGTACATGTGCACAACCTGCAGCTTTGTTACATATGTATACATCACACACCGGGGCCTCTTGTCTTATTTTTAAAATAAAACAACTTTTTCCCAGTTGTCACTTCTCCCGCCTCAAAACAGTTCCTTGCAAATCCTAAAGAGGAGTTCACACCTTAAAAGAGAGACTAATGTGGAGGAAGTAACCTATGGATGCAAATCCCTATTCACCCCTTACCTGCCATCAGAGCACCTTCAGTTCTTCCCACGGAGTCTTGTGGCCCTTGACGGTCAGTGGCAACACCACTGGGGAGGTCCTGAGGAGACCCTGAAGTCACTTAGAGGGCATGTGGCTGGTTACACACTTTTCATTTTAATTTCAACCAGCATTCAGAGAGGACCTACTTTATGCCAAGGTCCTGTGGACAGTGTAACTTCTCTCAGAGCTTACTGTCTTGTATGAAAGACAGATATGTGAGCAAATAAATATAACCCAGTTGTTAGTGAATCTAAAGAACTAAAAAAAGAACTATGGTCTCAGCTCACTCAATCTTTTTATATTTATGGTTGCTTTTATTCTAGCTGAGGATGGGGCTAGGTAGGCCTGGTTCACTGCAGGACAAAACAGGCTGGATGAGAAGACCTGAAAAAGTACTGGATTAATGGAACAGGACAGGCACATAGAATACAGGCTCTTTTATAGGTACTGGGGGACAATTCAATCTGGAAGGCAAAGGTGCTGTATAGTGATTGCTACAGCTTAGAGAAGAGGAATGACAAGGGTCCAAGCATCTCAACAGGTGGCCCAAGTATAATAATGAAAAACGTAGGAGTGGGCAATGCTTATATTCCAAGAAAGCGAGGATCAGCATCAGGGAATTTCACTAGCAGGTACCAAGCCCTAGCTTCCAGGCTTGAGTTTAAGGGAATTTCTCCGTTTAGCAATCACCCTGCCTACAATACATTCTGTGATAATAAACCTGACAATTATACCAATATAGTCTGTCTTACCTCACCTCTGAAGAGCTAGTGCTCCCCATGGGATTATAGGTCTCAACTCCAGAATGACCTGCAGATACAAGTTAGGATACCTCCTAAGCATGTAGCAAAAAATGTGATGGCTGCCACATGACCCTAAAGGTTGACTCCAATGCCTGTAGCCATTATTCCTGAAATCCGCCCCAAGCTGAAGCCCGTGTGGATTTGTCCATTGAGAGCTTCAAAACTGAGTGCAACAGCAAAAGAAATTATCATCAGAGTGAACAGGCAACCTACAGAATGGGAGAAAATTTTTGCAGTCTATCTATCTGACAAAGGGCTAATATCCAGAATCTACAAGGAACTTGAATTTACAAGAAAAAAAAAACAACCCTATTAAAATGTGGGCAAATGACATGAACAGATGCTTCTCAAAAGAAGACATTTATGCAGCCAACAAACATATGAAAAACAAAAGCTCAACATCACTAATCATTAGAGAAATGCAAATCAAAACCACAATGAGATATCATCTCACACCTATCAGAATGGCAATTATTAATAAGTCAGGAAACAACAGGTGCTGATGAGGCTGTGGAGAAATAGGAACACTTTTATACTGTCGGTGGGAGTGTAAATTAGTTCAATCATTGTGGAAGACAGTGTGGTGATTCCTCAAAGACCTAGAACCAGAAATACCATTTGACCCAGCAACCCCATGACTGGATATATACCCAAAGGAATATAAATCATTCTATTATAAAGATACATGCACGCTAATGTTCACTGCAGCACTATTCACAATAGCAAAGGCATGGAATCACCCCAAATGCACATCAGTGACAGACTGGATAAAGAAAATGTGGTACATATATACCATGGAATACTATGCAGTCACAAGAAGGAACAAGATCGTGTCCTTTGCAGAGACATAGATGGAGCTGGAAGTCATTATCGTCAGCAAACTAACACAGGAACAGAAAACCAAACACTGCATGTTCTCACTTACAAGTGGGAGCTGAACGATGAGAACACATGGACACAGGGAGGGGAACAACACACACTAGAGCCTGTTGGTGGGAGGGGAGAGCATCAGGATAAATACCTAATGAATGCTGGGCTTAATACTTAGGTGATGGGTTGATAGGTGCAGCAAACCACCATGGCACACGTTTACCTATGTAACAAACCTGCACGTCCTGCACATGTATTCCAGAACTTGAAATAATTTAAAAACCTGAGTGCGAGAGCCCAAACCACTGGAGTTATGGACAAGAAGGAAGAGGGTAAGAGTTACATAGATTACTGGTTTCCATTTGGAGGGGATGGGCAGGGAACAAGGAGAGGATAAGAAAGAGGAGAATGTGTATGTTGAATCAATTTTCCTAAGTTCTTCTTTCTCATCTATACATATCCAGTTGAGAATCAGTGGCATAAGTTGAATAATTTTATTTAATACCAACATCTTTATCTGAGGATATTGGGGTGTTTGGTGTTTGGAGAAGGGACTGGAAAGATCACCTTACCTGGACTGACATTCAGTGGAGGGAAATCCAGTCACTTTTCAAAAAAAAATTAAAACCCTGAGCCTTACATAAAGTATATAAATATTCCCATTTAACGAGAATAGGCTTATGAGCAAAGTGCTATTGAGGCTTCAGCACCATGACTCAGAATTTCTTTCAGCTAGAAATTAAAGTCCCAATTGGAGATAGATCCATAGAAACACTGACACACTACCACTCACTCTCAAGCCCCCTGAAAGCCCCCTGACAAACCCTGAGGCTGAAAATGTCTAAGGACATTTTCTGAAAGATTTAAAAGGGGCTTATAAATGTCATGAAGTTACTCTAAAGCCAGATCTATTGGAAGGAGAGGTCCAGAATCACTTCCTGGGGCTGGTCTCTGGCATGAATGCATTGGCCTGGGAGTGAACCTCTATGATACTGGCAGTGGGGCACTGCCAGGCCTGATGGATCTTCTGAGTGTGCATGCTGACCTCCAGTCAGGAACCTGGGTACTAGCTTGTTACTTTCTCCTGAACCCAGCTAAGAGGTTTATTGTATTTTATACAGCAATCCTGAGTGTTTTGTAGCAACAGAGCTTCTATGGAATGTTTAGTTGACCATATGTCCAGAGACATAAGTTCAACTCTTAAAAATGAGAAGGAGAAAGTACCCCTGTGTTGTTATAAAAGTGACACTAAACATTAAGCATGTTTTGGTAGATATGGAGATGCGCCACTCAGAACCCCTTTGAAGAAAGGACCTGCTGCCCAAATGCAAGGTGACATGCAGCCTTAGCTTACCTATAACCACTTCCGGGATCTTTAATATGATGCATGTGCCAATTTGGGTTCTTTGGGAAACAGGCAGTGGGATAGAATTAGGAGCATAAAAAAAAGTTTGTGAAGTAGTATCTGTGAAAACAAAAGGGAGGAAGGAGGACTGGGGAAATATAGCAGTCTGATCACAATATAGACCTGACAAAAGTCTCTGAATAATCTTGGAAGGATGTAGATGGAAACAGCAGCAGCAACCCTAAGGAAAACTCAGATCATTTGATTTCACGGTTAGTACCTGCCAGGTTGTTGGGGTCTCCTTGATGATCTGACCTAAGCTTACAAATGAACACTTGCATCACCAGCCCTCAAGCTTGCACAATGTAAAGGAGTGAGTTCCTAAGGAATGTATGGACCCCTATGCCCACAGACAACTTTCATTCATCTCTGAAATTCTGCATATTACTGACAATAAATGATGATGAAGATAACTGACACTTAAATGTCATTATATTTTTTCTTCAGCAATATTTGATGATTAGAAAAGTTACTAATTGATTGAAACACTACAGGGATGATGTGCCTTTGTAAAGGACAAGCAAAAGAAAAATAACAGTAGATTCCATGTGATTGCAGGGGGTATCTAAGATATTTTTACCTTCCTTGTTTTTCACTTTGATTTCTGGAGAATAACAATCAAACAAATGCTATAACCATGTTCAAAATACTCGTGTTGTCTATTGAGAACCATTATTGTCAGATCCTGAGGAATGGAAATTAGTATTTTGTCTATTTTGTCTATTGAGATCCATTATGGAAACTGACGCTTCTGCATTCCCAAACAAAAGCAGAGAAAGGTACAATAGAACAAAGGAGAGACAGAAAGAAAAACAGAGAGATGGAGATTGACAGAGTCAGAGAGGCAGAGCCTGATGTGGGCTCAGGAGGGAAGTTCAACCTGAGATTTGTCCTCACCCAACCAGGTATACGTATCGTGTATAGAAAATGAAACACACTTTGAAAACAAAAAAATATGGTGGAAATAGGAATGGGGTGGGGGAGTACAGGAGATAAGCATGTTTTTGACTTTTTTCTTTAAATCTATAGCATGAAACACAGTACTGAAAGAAGGGCAAGGCTCAATGCATAGGTAGTGGGTGTTATCTACCATAAATTTCCCCACCATCTTTCCTCCCAGCATTCTGTTTGTCTAGAGTCTGCTCTCACTCTCATCCTTATTACCTACAATTCAATTCACACAAATGACTGGACACTCTCTGGGTTCCCGCCTTTGCTTAGATAAAGAACCTATTCCCTCCCAAGGCCACCATCTCATCCAAAACTCTCACTGGACACGTAGGGAAAGAAAGCCTCAAAGACTAGATGAGACAGACTTGTCTAAGGTCACACAAACACCACCAAGTAGATGATCTAGGAACACAGTTCAGGTCCCAGTGGAGTTGGAACTTCAGGTAGACATGGAGATTCCTCCGTGTGCACAAACTTACTTGTATGCGAGGCTGGGAAGTGTAGCTAAACTGTGAACCCAAAAAGGAGAAAATAAGTAGGTATTTGCAAAACGGTTCTATATACCCCTCTGTCTGTCCCCAAATGTTCTTAAAGGCATGTGGTAGTCACACCATTTGTTAGACTGAAGCAGCAAGGATATGAGTACATCTTACACTGGGAATGCTAATTTCCATTCCTCAGGATCTGACAATCCCAAAGCAGTTAGAAGCTGGTATGCCTGCCAGGCACAGTGGCTCACACCTGTAATCCCAGCACTTTGGGAGGCCGAGGCAGGCGGATCACAAGATCAGGAGATCGAGACCATCCTGGCTAACACGGTGAAACCCCGTCTCTACTAAAAACACAAAAAATTAGCCGGGCGTGGTGGCGGGCGCCTGTAGTCCCACCTATTTGGGAGGCTGAGGCAGGAGAATGGCGTGAACCCAGGAAGTGGAGCTTGCAGTGAGCCGAGATTGTGCCACTGCACTCCAGCCTGGGCAACAGAGAGAGACTCCGTCTCAAAAAAAAAAAAAAAAAAAAAGGCTGGTATGCCTTCTCCATAATCTCTCTTTCTGTCTCTGTCTCTGTCTCTTTCTCTCTCTCTTTCTGTGTGTGTGTATGTGTGTGTGTGTGTGTGTGTGTGTGTGTCTGTGCTTATCAACCAGTCAGATTAAGAGATCCAGTGGAAAATTCTCAAAGGCCCTAGTTACTGTGGAACCTGGATTTCTGAGTCATCACTTAGAAAACTACCAAGAGAGCCACCAGGCTCTCATCAGACATCACTATATGAAAAAAAAATACTTGTACTGTGTTAACCCACTGACATTGGGAATTGTGTATACAGAAGCTAGCATTAATTGCCTTGACTAATACAGAACCCCAACTTCTCTGAGAAACACCCAAATTGAACTTGTCAAAAGATTGAATGGGATCTTACCCATCTAATAGTGTGTGAGTTTGCCAGGACTGCTGTAACAAAGTACCACAGCCGGGTGGCTTAAACAGCAGAAATGTATTGTCTCCTAGTTCTAGAGGCCAGAAGTACAAGATCAAGGAGTCTGCAGGGTTTATTCTGTCTGAGGTCTCTGAGGGAAGGATCTGTTCCAGGCCACTCTTCGACTGGTAGATGCATTACCCCAATCTCTGCTTTTGTCTTCACATCATGTTCTCCGTGTGTGTGTGTGTGTGTGTGTGTGTGTGTGTGTGTGTATGTGTGTGTGTGTGTCTAAATCTCCCCTTCTTATAAGGATACCCGTCATATTGGATTGGTGACCCACCCTACTGTAGTATGATCTTATCCTAACATAACTCATTACACCTGCAACAACTCTATTTTCAAATAAGGTCACATGCTGGGGTCCTGGGAGTTAGGACTTTTGAACATATGAATTTGGCAAAGGGACACAATTCAACCCATTAACAGGTAGTGCCATTGGCAAGGAGCTAGTTTTGTCAGCAGTTGAAAGCCCAAATGCTATTCTTCTAATGGAGAGAGTGCTGGGGAGCCCCACGTTTGGTATAGCCAGCTTCATACAGTTACATCCTTGTCACTGACCTAAAGGAATTTGTAATCATTTCTGTGTACCAGATGGTGTCCCTCAATCACCATTACACTGATGACAAGCACAGTCTCTGACTGAGCTAGATGTTGTGTCTGAAATATCTATTTAGAAGTTGTTATGGACTGAGTTGTGTCCCTCCAAAATTCCTATATTGAAGTCCTAACCCCTGTACTTCAATATGTGACTATATTTGAAGATAGGGTCTTTACAGAGATGATCAAGTTACAGTAAGGTCATTAGGGTAGGCATTAATGTAATCTGAGTAATGTCCTTATAAGAAGAGGAGATTACGACACAGACATACACAGAGAGGAGATAAAGACACAGGGAGGAGAGGATGGCCATCTCCAAGGCAAAGAGAGAGGCCTCAGGAGAAACCAACCCTGCCCACACCTTGATCTCAGATTTCTAACTTCCAGAACTTCGAGAGAATGCATTTCAGTTGTTTAAGCTATCCTGTCTGTAGCACTTTGTTACGGCAGCCTGAGCAAACCCATAGGGAGGTCCTCAAGGAGGAACAGTCCTAAACAAGAACAAGAGCGTCATTAAAATCCCTAAAGAGGCTGGGAACAGCCTTCAGATCCACCTCAATGAAGGCAGGCACTTGCATGGAGATGGAACTCTTTTTTCTTTTCTTTTTTTTTTTTTTTTTTTTGGTGCTGCCACTGCAGCATGTTCTCCCTCCTCTACCCTGCCAGCATTACAATCAATTTGTTACAGGCTTTTCCCATGACTTACATTTCACTAGGTCTGCAGATTCAAACAATGAGCTCTGTGTATTAGATTTCATAGGAAAATTGTGAGTGCACAAACCTATGTGACCAATAGATGCCGTATCAGACTGGGCACCAGAGCTCCTGCTGGGAGTCTTCTCCAAGTAGTGGCAAGAACTGCAACTCAAGAATAAGGGCAACTAAATTAGCATCCCAGAGTTAGAAGGTCCTTTTGTTTAAACCAGTAGTTTTTAGCCCATGATCTTTTACAAGCCCTGCATGCAAACTGGCTCCTGGGTTCCTCAGTCACTGAATGTCAAATGCGGTGAGATGCTGAGGTGGTGCTGCTAAAGTTAGAATGCTCAAAGTTGCCAATTAATTCTGTGCAAAAAGGTATTTACTTCATCATTCTCCACCTTAGGCCCTGCCTGATGTTCTCGAGTTTCTGTCAGTCTGGGGCCTCCTTAGAAGTAACTGCTGGCCTCAGGCTTGGAAACAAAGCAATCACTTAGAGCAAAGTTACTAGCCTATTTGTTGGACAGCAACTGGCTATATTTATCCTCTATTTTTCCCCCACCCCCTCTCACCCCGTATTAGTCTCCAATTGCTGTGTAACAAATTTCCACAAGTGAAGCAGCTATAAATAGCACACATTTATTTTCTCAGTTTCCGTGGGTTAGGAGTCTGGGTACAGCTCAGCTGGGTCCTCTGATTGGGGTCTCACAAGGCTGCAATGATGGTGTCAGTCAGGCTGCATTCTCAACTGAAGCTTAATATCCTCTTCCAAGCCCCCATAGTTGCTGGCAGGATTCGTTTCCTTGTGTGGCATGACTGAGGGCCCTGGCTTTTGCTGGCTCTTAACTGTAAGCTTCCCTCAAGACCTAGAGGCTTAGGCAGCTCACAACATGGCTGTTTGCTTCTTCAAGGGCAGCAGGTCTCTCCACTCTGCAAGGAAGGAACCCCAAATATTGTAACATAATCATAGAAATGATATCCCATCATCTTTGCCATACTCCATTGTTGAGAAGCAAGTCTTGAGTACTGTCCACACTCTAGGGGAAGGGGTTATACAAAAGCATGACTCATTGCAAGTCACCTTTGAGTGTGTCTACCAGCCCCTCCTATCTCCCACTGGCTCACCTTCTACAAGGTTAGGGTTAGTCCTAGATGATAGCAAGCATAGCAGCTGCTGACAGCTTCTATTCATAATACCACCAATGGAGTTTGGGGGGAGGGGCACTCAGCATGCCCCTTGTTATCGTGTTCTCCTTTCAATGCACCTGTAATACCAGGTGCATTTCTTCATGGTCATCACTATCTTCCCAGTTAAGTCACATATGGATTATCACCTGTTTGTGCATTCAAAGCTCAGGACCAATCCCACAATATCACATGGACCAGCAGCATCAGCATCCTATGAAAACTTGTTAGAAGTGCAAATTATCTGGCTCTACACCAGACTTACTGAGTCAGAAACTCCAGGGTGGAGCCCAGCAGTCTGTGTTTTAACAAGTCCTTGAGGGCATGCTGATGCATGCTCAAAGCTGAATACCACTGAGTTCAGAAATAGGCTTTATAGAGAAAGCAGAACTCTAATAGCCAAGAAGCACATGAGAAAAGAAAATTTAGTTTCCCCTGCATATTAGTCTGGTAGTGCTGCCATAACGAAGTACCACAGACTGGGGAGCTTAAGCCACAAAAATGTATTGTCTCATAGTTCTGGAGGCCAGAAGTCTGAGATCAAGGTGGCAGCAAGGTTGGTTCCTTCTGAGGGCTCTCTCTTTGGCTTGTAGATGGCATCTTCTCCCTGTGTCTTCACATGATCTTCCTTCTATGTGTCTCTGTGCCCTAATCTTCTCTTCTTATAAGGCATCAATCAGACTGGATTAGGGCCCACCATAGTGACCTCATTTTACCTTAATTACCCCCTTTAAAGACCTCATTTCCAAATTCAGTTACATTCTGAAGTACTTGGGGGTTAAGACTTCAACTTTGAGGTGCTAATTATTCCTAGGAGTTGTTTGGGAATGCCAATAGCTCAGCACTGGGAGATCTTTGGGCATGTGAGATGTTGTCAGTCCCCTGCTAGAGGAGGAACTGCTGGTCCTATTAGAAGCTGAACTTAGAAAAAATACACCCTCTGGAGGAATGGAAGGGTTAGTTCCAACTAACTGGTTGTCCAGCAACCCCCAGAGTGAGCTCCCAAGATCACATTTAGATAATGCTGTCCATAGCACTTGCTATGGTTTGAATGTGTCTCCCAAAGTTTATGTGTTGGAAATTTGGTCCCCAGTGCATTAAGAGGTGGGACCTTTAAGAAGTAATTAAGTCATGAAAACTCTGCCCTAATCAATAGATTAATGTCATTATCTCAGGAATAGGCTTTTTATAGAAGAGAAGAGTCTCAGTCTCTCTCTCTCTCTCTCTCTCTCTCTCTCTCTCTCTCTCTCGCTCTCTCTCTCTCTCTCTCTCTCTCTCTCCCTCTCTCCCCCTTCTGACATGGGATGATGCAGCAAGAAGGCCCTCACAAGACGCAGCCCCTTCATCTTGGAATTGTCAGCCCCTAGAACTGTAAGACATAAATCTCTTTTCTTTATAGATTACCCAGTCTCATGTATTCTGTTACAGCAACACAAAACAGAGTAGATAGCACCACATTAGTAGGCCTCTCTGGTTTACGAAGACAAATAAAGTCACACTGACAGCAATAATTCAAATTTCACTGACATGTTTCCTGCAAAGTCCACCTCAAGCATTTTTAGGTGTCTCTTCTGTGCTCACAAACAATTTGCTCCTGCTGGAATGACTGCTGCACCCCTGGGCCATGCTGTTCCCTCCATGCTGATGCTCCAATAAGCACTCCACTCCACTGCTCTGTTAGCCACAAGAGTCCAACACTGTCTGTCACCCTTCTGCCAGAGCCCATGCTACTGCTGTTAGATAATGTATATACAGCCTTCCCTCAGTATTGTGAGGGATTGGCGTCTGGACTCCCTCAGATACCCAAATCCACAGATGTTCAAGTCCCGTATGTAAAATGGTGTAGTGTTTGCACATAACCTACACACATCTTCCTGTATGCTTTAAATCATCTCTAGATTACTTACAATACTTGATACAATGTCAATGCTATGTAAATAGTTGTTATACTGCATTGCTTAGGGAATAATGACAGGAAAAACTCTGTTCATATTCAATGCAGATGCAACTATTCTTTTAAAAAATATATTTTTGATCTGCAATTGGTTTAATCCAGAGATGCAGAACCCATGGATGCAGAGGGCCAACCGCACAGCCTTGCACAGCTCTAACAGCAGACCCCATCAAGTGACAATTAGGCACTGCTCTGCTGGGTACAGAAGGTCCTACAAGTGCTACTATTTTGCTAGGAATGGTTTTCTTTTGTGCTATTCTTCTGGGTTTAGGAGGAATCCATTTGTTGCCTCTATGAGCTCTCAAAACTATAGAACTAAATGTTCGTTTTTGAAAAGTACAGAAGAATGTCTCTCTCCCCTTTGTGTTGCACTCTGTTATTGAATCTCATGTTTCTTTCAGAGCCCACTGAAGAGAAGCTTTTTATCCAGTTTGAAAGATCACATATTGTGTCAGGTGTGTATGCTTAGACCAATAAGCTATGGCCAGGGGACAAAGGTCACATCAGCTCCACTCTGTGGTCACAGAGTAGAGGGGTTTGTCCTTATGTATCAAAGCCATTTCTAGGAAATTAGGGAGACATCTCAATGTCTTTTTCTTTTAATATTTGACACGTGTTTATTCTATATTTGTAGTACAGTCGTATTTTCAACTTTTTGAAAATGATATATTATCAAAAATATAATTAAATTCAGTTTAGATTTCATACGTACTTTATAACATAAAATGACCGTTTTAACCATTTTTAAGTATACAGTTCAGTGACATTGAGTACATTCACATTGTTGTCCAACCATCACCACCATCCAGAACTTTTTTCTCATCTTGCAAAACTGAAACTCCACTCCCATTAAACCCTAACTCCTCATTCCTCTGCCCCTTCAGCCCAAGGCAACCACCATTCATTCTGTGTATGAACTTGACTACTCTGGCATCTCATATAAGTACAATCATGCAGTATTGGTCCTTTTCAGGCTGGATCATTTTACTTACCATAATGTCCAGTTGGCTTTTACACTCTCCCATTCTACTAATAGAATTGCAAACAGATGCACGTCTCTTCATCTCAGAATTTTTTTTAATGCCTCAGTTCTGTCACTCCTCCAAATACAGACTTGTCCCTCTCTTCCTTTTACTTGACCACTTGCTTTCTAAGCAATTGCACTCTAGTTTCCATGCCACTCTCCATATTCACCAATGACCTCCTAATCAATTAATTTAATGGATTTCCCCATGAAAATTCATCTGTCTTGATGTTTCCATAGAATTGAACAGACAGTACATTGTTTATGCAAGATTCGTATAATTATTATTCAATGGAAGAACATTTCATTTCCATTTTAAAGATGGAGAAACTGAGCCTCAGAGTTTCATTTGTTTATTCACAAAACAAATATGTCTTGAGTTCCTCCTATACTAGTCCTACTACTGGGTACTGAAGAAAGAACAATGAGCTTCACAGGTATTATGTATGCAAAATATTACATATAAGTATATAATTATGAATTGTAGTTAGTATGGATAGTTTTTTCAAATATTTTTGATCTGCAGTTGGTTGAATCCATCAGTAGAATGCACCAATAGAATAGATTGAATGCATCAATAAAATAGAAGATACAGGATTGCTGAGGGTTCACAGGAACGCCTGATTCAGATTGAAAGTGAAGTGGGTAGGAGTGGGATGAGGCAACTTTGAAGGATATTTTAGTCGTGCCTGGGCTTTTGAAAATCAAACAATATAAAGAATAATAATGCAAAGTAACATTTCCCTACATGACCCCAATCCTGCTCTCCAGAAGTACTCCTTTGAAGTCTTTTAGCTGATTCTGATTTTTATCTTCTGGAGACTCAAACCACATCTCTAAACCATCTGCTTATACTACTCTTGGGTGCTTTATCATTTTCAATGGTATTTATTGACATCTCTGGAAGACAAGGCTTTAACTCAGTAGCATCACCTCCCCACACAGTCTTTCTCCCCACTTCCCCATACAACTACGGACCATTTTTGCCTCCTTTATGTGTCGCCTTTACCTAGCTATCTGAACTCTCACTATCCAATAATTGGCTATAACCTCTTGTAAAAATGTCTATCCAAAATTTAGTCTCTGAAGTGAGAACTTGCTCTAGTGAATCCTCATGTAATGTCAGCCAAAATGTTTAGGTTGTGAATTACTCCTGTAGGAGGTTAGAACCTTGTCTAAATATGCTAGGCATTATTTTCATCATCATCCTCACCATTACCCTAATGGTTTTGCTTTTAATGGGTCCCAGCATTTACTTCTGCCAGGTTCCTAGGAGAACTACTAAACCTGGGTCCGATTTAGATATTATTTGTAATGTGCCATTACATTGTTTATTTATATTACAGTACACGTCATTGAAGGGCACAGAGAAAATCAAGTTCAGAGCCAATACTCTACCGTGGTATTGCCTATTACTCACAAATATACTCACTAATGAATTCCCTAACTGTTAAATAATTAGGCAAATGGTGTTTACAATGTTTTGTATTATGCAGAAATCTTTGGTTGGTTGTTATATAAATGTTTCAGGGTATTTTAGTAATATCTAGAAAAATGGGTTGGGGTTTTTGAATGGGCTGCAAATGCAATGGGTTTTCTTCAGTCAAATCATGAAAAATGCTGCTGTAATCTGAATATTTGCTTTCCAATATGTTTTCAGAAATGAGCTAGATTCAGATAATGAGGAATTCCTGTACTTGCACTTCTATTTCTTATTCCTTGAGCTATAAAATCCCTTGACTCTCCATGTAAAATGAAGATATAACACCGTTACCTATTCCCTTTGTTTCTTCTCTCCTTTGTCAAAGACTCTCTCCTTTGACCAAATCTTTAGTCAGCTGAAACTGCCTTCAGCAATAATCCTGTCAGTCAGGTTAGCCAGAAACTCCTTATCCTTGATATTTCCTCTTAGTAATTTTCTATCCACTGATGCCCCCTCCCCCACCCTGCTCCCTGATTATAAATCCCCACTTGTCCATGCTGGAGTCCGAATCCAATCTCTGTCCTCCACTGCAAGACTCCATTGCAGTGGTCCCTGTACCTATCACCACTTACTCTCTCGAATAAGATCTGCCTTACCAACTTTAACAAGTGTCATGTATAATTTTTAACACCTTCTACTCCCTACCCATTTCTGCCTCTGTACTTGTATTCTTTTGTTGTCAAGGTTGATAACATTTAGATTCTGTTCTATAAATCTAAAAGTGCTTTGTCTATAGTTGGTTCTAAAAGTTGAAAATCAATATATGGTAATTACATTACTATAACTATTCAATATTGCTTGCTGCACATCTCAGTAATGTATTATATTCTTTTCCTAATACAACGTTTTTGCCTTCCTGGAGGCTTTATTTGCATTTCTTGTTTTCTTTGTTTGCCTCTATCATCTCCTTCTTAGGATAATCCACATTCCTAAGGATCCAGATAAATCTCCAGAATCCCCTTTACTCCTAGATGCTCCTTTCTGAGTCCTCTGTCCTCCTGCATCCATGGTGACTGGGTGTTCTTTAGGCCAGTTGCTCAACTGTCATCCCAGGACTCCCCTTCATTGATCTCCTCGGCTGAATGTTTTCTGATACTCATGTCATTCTCTTTCTAGGTTTATACCTCATTCTTACACACATACCCAAGGAACATATTGAGAAAAGGTGCATGGGGATTGAATTTTATAAATTCCTGATGATCTAAAAATGCCTCTATTCTACCCTCACACTTAACTGATCATTTTCAAGATATGGAGTACTAGGTCAAAAAGAATTTTCCCTCAGATTTTGGAGATCTTGTTCTTTTGAATGTAACCTGTTTCACCACGTCTTTGGATGCATTTAGAATCTGCTCTTTATCACTACTGTTTTGGAATTTCACGCTAATATACTTTGACAAATTTTTAATTTTCGTTTGCTGTACTGGATGCCTGGTACTCTTTCAAACTTAAGGTTGATATTTTTTTCTTCAGCCTAGAGATGTTTTATTCTATTACTACTTTGGTGATTTTCTCTCATCCACTTTTTTCTGTTATTTATTTATGGAACTCTTATTAGTCATATGGATTCAGAAATGTCACTTTGCTCTGAAATGATTATTATTGCAACTGTATACTTCACATCCTATAATGAGGAGGAACAGATACTTTACACCCTGAGATAAACAAACAGAAACCAGGGTCACCCTACCTAGTTTTCTTTCCCCAAAAGAAGCCAATCCTTAAGCCTTTCCTGAAAGTTACTGACTCCCTAAGAAAAACAATTCTCTCTTGCCTTTTGTGATGTCAGTGTCTGCAGATATGTTGCAATCCTTTAAAAAATGATAATCATGTGAGAAAATTGTTGTTTTCCACCATAAACTAAATGTAAATTCAGTAACCTCTAGTTTTGTTAATCTTCTAATCTTCTAGTTTTTGTTTTTATTCCCCCCACTTCAAATACTTGTTACTCCTTTTACAGCCTGGACTGCCTTGCAGACCTTTTCTACAATTAAACTTCTTTGCTTACTGAAAGCTTTCATCCCTGAGGCTTGTTTTCTTGCTCAGATAATGGACTCAATCACACAAGAAGGAATAATAGAGATTACGGTATAAGTCTAGTCCTGTGTAATTTGGGGTACTCTAGTTATTTAAATTTACCATCTGCTTTTTATTAAATTTGCAATCTTCTCTAGATATGAATAATTCCCAAATAGACCTTTTGGTTAAAAGACTCGATGGGGTGGAGCCAAGATGGCCGAATAGGAACAGCTCCAGTCTACAGCTCCCAGCGTGAGCGATGCAAAAGATGGGTGATTTCTGCATTTCCAACTGAGGCACCGGGTTCATCTCATGGGGGAGTGCCGGACAGTGGGTGCAGTGCACCATGCATGAGCCAAAGCAGGGCAAGGCATCGCCTCACCCGGGAAGTGCAAGGGGTCAGGGAATTCCCTTTCCTAGTGAAAGAAAGGGGTGACAGACGGCACCTGGAAAATCGGGTCACTCCCATCCTAATACTGCCCTCTTCCAATGGGCTTAACAAATGGCACACCAGGAGATTATATCCCGCACATGGCTCAGAGGGTCCTACGCCCACGGAGCCTCGCTCATTGCTAGCACAGCAGTCTGAGATCAAACTGCAAGGCGGCAGTGAGGCTGGGGGAGGGGTGACCACCATTGCTCAGGCTTGAGTAGGTAAACAAAGCGGCCTGGAAGCTCGAACTGGGTGGAGCCCACCACAGCTCAAGGAGGCCTGCCTGCCTCTGTAGGCTCCACCTCTGGGGGCAGGGCACAGACAAACCAAAGACAGCAATAACCTCTGCAGTCTTAAATGTCCCTGTCTGACAGCTTTGAAGAGAGTAGTGGTTCTCCCAGCACGCAGCTTGAGATCTGAGAACGGGCAGACTGCCTCCTCAAGTGGGTCCCTGACCCCCGAGTAGCCTAACTGGGAGGCAACCCCAGTAGGGGCGGACTGACACCACACACGGCCTGGTACTCCTCTGAGACAAAACTTCCAGAGGAATGATCAGGCAGCAACATTTGTGGTTCACCAATATCTGCTGTTCTGCAGCCACCGCTGCTGATACCCAGGCAAACAGGGTCTGGGGTGGACCTCCAGTAAACTCCAACAGACCTGCAGCTGAGGGTCCCGACTGTTAGAAGGAAAACTAACAAACAGAAAGGATATCCACACCAAAAACCCATCTGTACGTCCCCATCATCAAAGACCAAAGGTAGATAAAACCACAAAGATGGGGAAAAAACAGAGCAGAAAAACCAGAAACTCTAAAAATCAGAGCGCCTCTCCTCCTCCAAAGGAACGCAGCTCCTCACCAGCAACGGAACAAAGCTGGACGGAGAATGACTTTGACGAGTTGAGAGAGGAAGGCTTCAGAAAATCAAACTACTCCGAGCTAAAGGAGGAAGTTCGAACCAATGGCAAAAAAGTTAAAAACTTTGAAAAAAAATTAGACGAATGGATAACTAGAATAACCAATGCAGAGAAGTCCTTAAAGGACTTGATGGAGCGGAAAACCAAGGCACGAGAACTACGTGATGAATGCACAAGCCTCAGTAACCGATGCGATCAACTGGAAGAAAGGGGATCAGCGATGGAAGACGAAATGAATGAAATGAAGCAAGAAGAGAAGTTTAGAGATAAAAGAATAAAAAGAAATGAACAAAGCCTCCAAGAAATATGGGACTGTGTGAAAAGACCAAATCTACGTCTGATTGGTGTACATGAAAGTGATGGGGAGAATGGAACCAAGTTGGAAAACACTCTTAAGGATATTATCCAGGAGAACTTCCCCAATCTAGCAAGGCAGGTCAACACTCAAATTCAGGAAATACAGAGAATGCCACAAAGATACTCCTCGAGAAGAGCAACTCCAAGACACATAATTGTCAGATTCACCAAAGTTGAAATGAAGGAGAAAGTGTTAAGGGCAACCAGAGAGAAAGGTCGGGTTACCCACAAAGGGAAGCCCATCAGACTAACAGCTGATCTCTCGGTAGAAACTCTACAAGCCAGAAGAGAGTGGGGGCCAATATTCAACATTCTAAAAGAAAAGAATTCTCAACCCAGGATTTCGTATCCAGCCAAACTAAGCTTCAAAACTGAAGGAGAAATAAAATCCTTTACAGACAAGCAAATGCTGAGAGATTTTGTCACCACCAGGCCTGCCCTAAAAGAGCTCCTGAAGGAAGCACTAAACATGGAAAGGAACAACCGGTACCAGCCACTGCAAAAAACATGCCAAATTGTAAAGACCATCAAGTCTAGGAAGAAACTCCATCAACTAACGAGCAAAATAACCAGCTAACATCATGATGACAGGATCAAATTCACACATAACAATACTAACCTTAAATGTAAATGGGCTAAATGCTCCAATTAAAAGACACAGACTGGCAAATTGAATAAAGAGTCAAGACCCATCAGTGAGCTGTATTCAGTAAACCCATCTCATGTGCAGAGACACATATAGGCTCAAAATAAAGGGATGGAGGAAAATCTACCAAGCAAATGGAAAACAAAAAAAGGCAGGGGTTGCAATCCTAGTCTTGGATAAAACAGACTTCAAACCAACAAAGATCAAAAGAGACAAAGAAGGCCATTACATAATGGTAAAGGGATCAATTCAACAAGAAGAACTAACTATCCTAAATATATATGCACCCAATACAGGAGCACTCAGATTCATAAAGCAAGTCCTTAGTGACCTACAAAGAGACTCAGACTCCCACACAATAATAACGGGAGACTTTAACACCTCACTGTCAACATTAGGCAGATCAACAAGACAGAAAGTTAACAAGGATATCCAGGAATTGAACTCAGCTCTGCGCCAAGTGGACCTAATAGACATCTATAGAACTCCCCACCCCAAATCAACAGAATATACATTCTTTTCAGCACCACACCGCACCTATTCCAAAATTGACCACATAGTTGGAAGTAAAAGAGTCCTCAGCAAATGTAAAAGAACAGAAATGATAACAAACTGTCTCTCAGACCACAGTGCAATCAAACCAGAACTCAGGATTAAGAAACTCACTCAAAACCACTCAATTACATGGAAACTGAACAACCTGCTCCTGAATGACTACTGGGTACATAACGAAATGAAGGCAGAAATAAAGATGCTCTTTGAAACCAACGAGAACAAAGACACAACATACCAGAATCTCTGGGACACATTCAAAGCAGTGTGTAGAGGGAAATTTATAGCACTAAAGGCCCACAAGAGAAAGCAGGAAAGATCTAAAATTGACACCCTAACATCACAATTAAAAGAACTAGAGAAGCAAGAGCAAACACATTCAAAAGCTAGCAGAAGGCAAGAAATAACTAAGAACAGAGCAGAACTGAAGGAAATAAGACACAAAAAACCGTTCAAAAAATCAGTGAATCCAGGAGCTGGTTTTTTGAAAAGATCAACAAAATTGACAGACCGCTAGCAAGACTAATAAAGAAGAAAAGAGAGAAGAATCAAATAGACGCAATAAAAAACGACAAAGGGGATATCACCACCGATCCCACAGAAATACAAACTACCATCAGAGAATAGTATAAACACCTCTATGCAAATAAACTAGAAAATTTAGAAGAAATGGATAAATTCCTCAACACATACACTCTCCCAAGACTAAACCAGGAAGAAGTTGAATCTCTGAATAGACCAATAACAGGCGCTGCAATTGAGGCAATAATTAATTTCTTGCCAACCAAAAAAAGTCCAGGACCAGATGGATTCACAGCCGAATTCTGCCAGAGGTACAAGGAGGAACTGGTACCATTCCTTCTGAAACTATTCCAATCAATAGAAAAAGAGGGAATCCTCCCTAACTCATTTTATGAGGCCACCATCATCCTGATACCAAAGCCTGGCAGAGACACAACAAAAACAGAGAATTTTAGACCAATATCATTGATGACCATTGATGCAAAAATCCTCAATAAAATACTGGCAAACCGAATCCAGCAACACATCAAAAAGCTTATCCACCATGATCAAGGGGGCTTCATCTCTGCGATGCAAGGCTGCCCTTCAACATACGAAAATCAATAAACGTAATCCAGCATATAAACAGAACCAAAGACAAAAACCACATGATTATCTCAATAGATGCAGAAAAGGCTTTTGACAAAATTCAACAGCCCTTCATGCTAAAAACTCTCAATAAATTAGGTATTGATGGGACATATCTCAAAATAATAAGAGCTATCTATGACAAACTCACAGCCAATATCATACTGAATGGGAAAAAACTGGAAGCATTCCCTTTGAAAACTGGCATAAGACAGGGATGCCCTCTCTCACCACTCCTATTCAACATAGTGTTGGAAGTTCTGGCCAGGGCAATCAGGCAGCAGAAGGAAATAAAGGGCATTCAATTAGGAAAAGAGGAAGTCAAATTGTCCCTGTTTGCAGATGACATGATTGTATATCTAGAAAACCCCATCATCTCAGCCCAATATCTCCTTAAGCTGATAGGCAACTTCAGCAAAGTCTCAGTATACAAAATCAATGTGCAAAAATCACAAGCATTCTTATACACCAGTAAGAGACAAACAGAGAGCCAAATCATGAGCGAACTCCCATTCACAATTGCTTCAAAGAGAATAAAATACCTAGGAATACAACTTACAAGAGATGTGAAGGACCTCTTCAAGGAGAACTACAAACCACTGCTCAACGAAATAAAAGAGGATACAAACAAATGGAAGAACATTCCATGCTCATGGGTAGGAAGAATCAATATCGTGAAAATGGCCATACTGCCCAAGGTAATTTATAGATTCAATGTCGTCTCCATCAAGCTACCAATGACTTTCTTCACAGAATTGGAAAAAACTACTTTAAAGTTCATATGGAACCAAAAAAGAGCCCGTGTTGCCAAGTCAATCCTAAGCCAAAAGAACAAAGCTGGAGGCATCACACTACCTGACTTCAAACTATACTACAAGGCTACAGTAACCAAAACAGCATGGTACTGGTACCAAAACAGAGATATAGACCAATGGAACAGAACAGAGCCCTCAGAAATAATGCCGCATATATACAGCTATCTGATCTTTGACAAATCTGACAAAAACGAGCAATGGGGAAAGGATTCCCTATTTAATAAATGGTGCTGGGAAAACTGGCTAGCCATATGGAGAAAGCTGAAACTGGATCCCTTCCTTACACCTTATACAAAAATTAATTCAAGATGGATTAAAGACTTACGTGTTAGACCTAAAACCATAAAAACCCTAGAAGAAGACCTAGGCAATACCATTCAGCACATAGGCATGGGCAAGGACTTCATGTCTAAAACACCAAAAGCAATGGCAACAAAAGACAAAATTGACAAATGGGATCTAATTAAACTAAAGAGCTTCTGCACAGCAAAAGAAACCACCATCAGAGTGAACAGGCAACCTACAGAATGGGAGAAAATTCTTGCAATCTATCCATCTGACAAAGGGCTAATATCCAGAATCTACAATGAACTCAAACAAATTTACAAGAAAAAAAAAACAAACAATCCCATCAAAAAGTGGGCGAAGGATATGAACAGACACTTCTCAAAAGAAGACACTTATGCAGCCAAAAAACACATGAAAAAATGCTCAGCATCACTGGCCATCAGAGAAATGCAAATCATAACCGCAATGAGATACCATCTCACACCAGTTAGAATGGCAATCATTAAAAAGTCAGGAAACAACAGGTGCTGGAGAGGATGTGGAGAAATAGGAACACTTTTACACTGTTGGTGGGACTGTAAACTAGTTCAACCATTGTGGAAGTTGGTGTGGCAATTCCTCAAGGATCTAGAACTAGAAATACCATTGGACCCAGCAATCCCATTACTGGGTATATACCCAAAGCATTATAAATCATGCTGCTATAAAGACACATGCACACATATGTTTATTGCGGCACTATTCACAATAGCAAGGACTTGGAACCAAGCCAAATGTCCAACAATGATAGACTGGAATAAGAAAATGTGGCACATATACACCATGGAATACTATACAGCCATAAAAAAGGATGAGTTCATGTCCTTTGTAGGGACATGGATGAAGCTGGAAACCATCATTCTCAGCAAACTATCGCAAGGACAAAAAACCAAGCACCACATGTTCTCACTCATAGGTGGGAATTGAACAATGAGAACACATGGACACAGGAAGGGGAACATCACACACCGGGGACTGTTGTGGGGTGGGGGAGGGGGGAGGGATAGCATTAGGAGATATACCTAATGCTAGGTGACGGGTTGGTGGGTGCAGTGCACCAACATGGTACATGTATACACGTGTTGCGGGCCTGCACATTGTGCTCGTGTATCCTGGAACTTGAAGTATAATAATAAAAAATAAAAATAAAAAAAAATAAAAGACTCGTGGCCTAAGATTTAAAGGGAAAAATTTATCAGGGTTACTAAATTTACAGTTTAGTTGTTTGTGATAGAAAAAAAACCTAATTTTCTAACATGACAGTTCACATATATTCAGAAAGCTCCACAGGTAATATATCAGAGCTCCAGACCCTCAGTGGAAAGTTAGCAGACCAGTCTGTAGGATGTACAAGGGAACTGCTTTGTCATATATTTATACAAGATGTTTAAACAAGATGGATCAGCAGCTGTTATATGTTAAAAAGGAGCTGACTGAAGAAAAGAAAGCCCTACCATTTTACTTTGGAGGTAACAATACCAGCATAGCAGGAATTCCTGACAACCACTGGTTGCAGAGAAAGTAGTTTGTTTACTGGAATCTGATGAAAAAGTAACCAAACTGGCATGCCTTCAGTTTGAGAGTATTTCTTACATACAACTGCTGTCACTCTATTCCAGGGGAGATTCCAATTGCATTGCTTCACTGCTACATTTGTAGATCTGAGGTTTAAAAAGAAATGTTTTTCAAGTGATTATGTAAAGCAGTAAATGCTTGCAAAAATATTAGAAATATATATGTATGCCACACTCTTTAAACTGATTTTGAAAATAATCAGAAAGCACCTTCTTTAAGCACTACACAAAGCTACTAGGTATTAATAATTATTGCAAAACCCTAGTAATAAAAGGAGTGTAGTAGCAGAGCAGTAACTCAAAAGTAATCCAATGGAACAAAATAGCCCAGAAACACATCTGTATATTTATGGGATCTTAGTATATGATAGAGGTATATCATATAGAGTATATGATAGAGGTATCATAAATTAATGTGGGGAAGAGAAATCACTTAGTAAATAGCATGGGTAAAATTGGCTCATTGTATGGAGAAATAGAAATTTGTTTATCTATTTACACTATGTACAAAAATAAACTTTTCATGGATTAAAGATATAAAGGTGAAAAGTGAATCTATAAAGATAATAAAAGCAAGCTAAGAATTTGGAGACCTCACGACACGAAAAGAATTCTTAAATAAACCTCCAAAAGCACAAACAGTAAGGTGAAAAGACAATGGATTTGACTATACCAAAATTAAAGTCTTCTTTTCAACAATGGACACCATAGACAAAGTTAACAGGAGGGTGAGAAAGATATTTGCAATGTCTAAAGCTAGCAAAAAAGTAATATCTAGGATGAGCAAGAAATTTCTTCTAAATCACAAGTATAAGACAGACATTCCAGTAGGAAAATGGGCAAAAGATAAGAAAGACAGCCTCACATGTATACATATGTAACTAACCTGCAGAATGTGCACATGTACCCTAAAACTTAAAGTATAATAAAAATAAATAAATAAAAAATAAAAATAAAAATAAAGATTAAAAAAAAAAAAAAAAAGAAAGGCAGCCTCATGCCTGGGATTATATCCCAAGAGAAGCTTACTGAAATACAAAAGGAGATACATAAAAGAATGTTTACTGAAGTGATGCTGTGGGGAGCAAGGAGTGGAGTATCTACAATGTCCATCATTAGGTACGTGAAGTAGTACACAACAGTCAGAAATAAGGAATTAATTTTACATGCAGCAAAAGGTAGCTCTCATAAACATAATGTTGCATAAAAGGGGCAAGAAAGATATGCATTTAAAACGTTATGCAATTTTTAAATTAAACACGTGCAATACTCTGATTTTTCAAAGACACACATGCCTCTAAATATTCACATATTAGTTGGATTGAACGGACACTCCCTAAATATTCATGGGTGGGCCCAAGAAAAGGAAGTGTAGAAGGAACGGGAAATGAAATGGAAAACAATAAAAGAAAATAAAGCAAAAAGAGGTCTTCCACCATTCAATGATGTTGGTGTGCCTTGAACAGTGGAGTCTGATCAATTTAGTTTTGTACATCTGAGGCCCTAAAGGAGAAAATAAGGCCACGCAGAATCTGAAAATCAAGTATAGTCAAACTACCCTTGAAAATCCTTAAACTACAATCCATTCATTCATTTACCAAATGTTTATGGAGCACCTGCTTTGTGCTGAGCACTGTCCTAGATGCTTGAGATGCAGGAGGGAACAAAACAAAGGTCACTGCCCTGTGGGAACTTTCCTCCCAGAAGGAGAAGACAGACAATAAATGAGAAATATTATAATTCAATTCTTTAGCATGTTTAAAGGTAATATATGCCATGAAAACAATAACAGAAAGCAGAATAAGCAGGATTAGGAGTGTTTGTGGGGGCGGGGGATCCATAACTTTGAGTCAAGGTAAGTCTCATTGAGAAGCTGACATTGGAAAAGAAACTTGAAGGAGGTGAGGGAGTTTGCACTGACTCCTCCTTCATTGTCTGGCAGAGGAATGATCAAGGTAGAGGAACCAGCCAATGTCAAAGCTCTGAGACGGGAGCATGCCTGGCACGTTCAGGGAATGGCAAGGAAGCCAGCATGGCTGGAGCTGAGTGAGCCAAGGGGAGCACAGTAGGAGGTGAGGGCACAGGTGATGGGGTGCCAGATTGAGTAGGGCCTTATAAGACCACCTGTTCTGTTGCATTTAGCCCAAATCAGTGCTGTAAGAAATAACACATAGTCTACAGCCTGGAAGTGCCTAAGGACAGAGCTGACTTGCTCCTGGAAGCATTTTCTCCAGCAATGAGCATAGTGACTGGCACATAGTAGGCATTCGTGATGACTTTTAATGAAAGAATGAATGGAATGAATGAATAGCCAGATAAAACAAGGCATTATGCCTGGCAATATAATTGACCAAAAAAAGAAAAAAAAAGGTTCCGTGGAAAGAGCACTGAATGTGGAGTCAGAATTCCTAGGTTTTAATCCTGATTTATGAACTTCATGTATGACTTTCTGCAAGTCCCTTCCCTCCTCTTTCTCACACATATCTAGAAAACAAAGAGGTGATGGTGAGAAGAGTGATGGACTAGGTGATTTCTATGGGTTCTTATTGCCCTGATGGTCTATGACAAGAGTGGTCACAACTTGATAAATGGTGTTTGATCAAATCCAGATAGTTGGGATATAGGAGTGGGGCATGCCACCATGGGATCCAAGTTTTAGCCTCTGTCAAAGAATGTGAAGGAGACAAGATGCCTCAGAACCCGAAAGCCTCAGGAGGAAAGGCAACAGTTCTTGTCATTGTTAAAGCCTTGTCTTTGCCATGCAGGGCAATGGTACACACCAAGACTAGAAGCCATTAGCTGGAGAAATATATAACCCTGATGCAGGGCCTTGGCAAATGAGGGAAACACCAAAGACCTGGAGAAGGCGACATAAAATCAAGAGCTTCCTAGTACAGAGAACCCTAGGAAGTTGGAAATGAAAGGGCTGTTAAGCATCCTTCTAATCCAATCTCTTAATTTGAAGATACAGTGAAACAGGCCAAAAGATAAGAAGGCAGCTTGACTAATGTCACACACATAGTATGTGGCAGAATCAGAACCAGACACAAGGCTGCCAATTTCAAATCCAGTGCCCCAGCTGTGTCTTCAAATAGGAAGCCCATGTCCTACCCTACATTCAGAAAAGGGTAAGTCTATAAATGATTTGGAACTGGAAGACAGAGAATGACCTGTGCACAGATTACAAAGAAAGTAAACAAAGAAATGAAAAGTTTGAACCTTCTCTCCAGAAAAAATCTTCATATATGTGCAATTTTGCCTGTATTTTCAAGAGATGATTTTACTCTAGGTTGAGAACCCATATAGTATATCATAGAATCCTCATGACTCAGAGAAGGAAAGGACTCTGTCATTGAGTCCACTCTTACTGAGCATCTCTGACAGCTCTGATGTTCATCTATTTTCTCTGTTGGAACCTTTTCCTAATATTCTGATCACATGAACACTGTATTGCTTTTGGCCAAAGGCCACTATAGTACTTAAAGCAGAGTAGATATGTTGTGAGCTTTAAAATAAGTTAGTAGGATTAAAATAGACCAAATGAAAGTGAGTTTCTAAGAGTAAAAACAGGTCTTATTTTAAGATTGTGTTCATAAAAGGAGTCATCCAATTTATACATCTCTGGTCATTTTATCTGCAGCATTAAACCAGTTTTCACTTGGAGTTCTGATATTACATTTCAAAACAAAAATGCTACAGTTTATGCCTACATCCATCCTGTACAGTAATTTACTTCATTCTTTTTCTAATGTTGTTTTACAGGTAAATTAAATATCGCTGCCAGAAACTTATTAAAGGATTATAGTTTCAGAGAAACAGAGAAAAAAGTAAATGTAGAAGGCCCTACAGAAGCAGAATTGCTGGGGTGGATTTATAGAAGGTCACACGCATTTGGAAAACTAAGATAAATTGATGACTACTCTAAATTTTAAGTTTGTGATTCAGGTAGCCAGTCTGTGTCTTCAAACAAGACACAGACTGTTTCATGTTTTTTAATGTTTATATTTTTTAATCAACTTCTTTCAGAAGCTGAGGTATAATTGACATACAAATAAGTGAACACAATTAAAGTATACAATTTAAGTTTTGTACATATTTGTGAAACCATCACCCTAAAGAAGATAGTGAACATATTCATCACCCCAGAACATTGCCTCATTCCCTTGCAACCATTATTTCCCATCCCTTCCCAATCTCCAACTCCCAGACAAAAATTGATCTGCACTGTCACTATAGACTACTTCGCATTTTATAGAATTTTATATAAATTGAATCATACAGTGTGTACTTTTCTTTGTTTAGCTTCTTTCAGTCAGCATAATTATTTTGAGATTCATCCATGATATAATATGTATCACTAGTTCATTTTTATTGCTGAATAATATTGTGTGTATGTACCACTATTTGTTTATTAATTCACCTGTTGATGAACATTTGGGTTTTTTTCCAGTTGGGGGCTATTTCAAATAAAGTTACTCTTAACATTTGTTACAAATTTTGTTACAAGAAACTGTCAAAGTATTCTCCAAAGTGGTTGCACCATTTTACATTTCCAACATCAGTGTGTAATGTTCCAGTTTCTGTACATCATTGCCAATACTTGTAATAGTTGGTGTCTTTAATTTTAGCCATTCTAGTGATGGGGTAGTTGTATCTTATTGAGGTTCTAATTTGCTTTTCATTAATAAATAATGATATTGAGCGTCTTTTCATGTGCTTATTTGCCATCAATATATCTTCTCTGGTGAAGTGTCTGTTCAAATCCTCTGCCCATTTTATGTATTGGGTTGTCTTCTTATCATTGAATTAGAAAATTACTTTACATATGCTGGATACTAGTCCCTTATCAGATATGTAATTTGCAAAAATTTTTTCTAAGCCTATGGCTTGTTTTTTCTTCTCTTAGCACTGTTTTTCAAACTGCAAAAGTTTCCAATTTTGATTATGTCTAATTTATCAAATTTTTCTTTTATGGATCTTGCTTTTTTCTGCCCTCTCAAAGAAATCTTTGCTTAACCCAAGGTCTCAAGACTTTCTCCGATTTTTTTCTAGAAATTATATAGTTTTCATTTCTATGTTTAGGTCTATGATCCACTTTTACAGAATTTTTATATGTGCAAGGTATGGATCAAAGTTTTGTTTATTTGGTTGGTTTTGGGTTTTGTTTATTGATATTGTTGCTATTGTTTTTGCATATAACTATCCAAATTGTTTTAGCATTGTTAGGTTAAAAAGATCATATTTTCTCCACTGACTTGACTTTGCACTTTTGTCAAAAATCAATTGACCACACACATAGGCGTCTATTTCTGGACTCTCTGTTCTGTTCTACTTGTCTATCTTTATGCCAATACTATGGCTATATAGTACCTCTTTAAATAAGCTAGAGTAAGTCTTCCAAATTTGTTGTTTTTGAAAGTTCTTTTGGTTATTCTGGGTCATCTGCATTTCCATGGGAACTTTAAAATTAGTTTGTCCATGTCTACAAAAAATGCCTGCTAGAACTTTGATTGAGATTGTACTGAATCTACAGATCAATCTGGGGAGAACTGACATCTTAATATTGAGTTCAGTCCATGAACAAGACATATATCTACATTTATTTAAATCTTCTTTAATTTCCATCAGTGATGTTTATTAGTTTTAATTGCATAGATCATCCATATTCTTTGATAGATTGATTCCTCAATATTTCATATTTTATGATATTGTGACTGAGAATATTTCCTTTCAATTTCCAATTGCTCATTGCTAGTATATAGAAATTTAATAGATTTTTGTATATTGATCTTGTATCCTGCAATGTTGCCAAACTCACTTATTAGTTCTACTGTTTGTTATAGAAATCACAGGATTTCCTACATAGATGAGCATGTTATCTGCAAAAAAATGAGTTTTATCCCTTCCTTTCTAATATGGATGCTTTTTATTTCTCCGTTTTTTTGAATTGATTGCACTGACTAGAATCTTTGGTGCAACATTGAATGGGAAAGGTGAGAGCAGTCTTGTTCTTGATCTTAGGGGAAAAGCATTCAGTATTTCACTATTAAGTATGATGTTAGCTTTAAGTTTTTTTCATCAATTCCCTTTATCAAGTTGTAACCAATGCTTTTAATTTTAAAAGTAATACAGTGGAATATTCCCGTCACTGTGGTGGAGTGAGTATTCTGAAATGCTTTCTTGCTCCACAAACTATGAAGCTAGATAAATTACAGCAAATTTCCTTATGAATGCATAGCTGACCTTGCAAGAAATTTAAAAAAAGTTTATCTCCAGGAGCTAAAATCAGAGTGGCAAGGGACCACAGAAGGCAGAAGCTTGGGGTCATTTTCCAATTCCAGAAACCTTATAGCCTTTGATTTTAAAAGTTAACAGCCTCTTTGGCTGGTGCAGCTCAGTCTCCTTCAGAACCTCTCTTCCTTAAACATTAGTACTTGTCAATGCTCTCTCCTGGCCTCTCTTATTTTGTCACTCCCCGGCTGATCTCATATATTACTATTCCAAGTATCACTTCTGTGCTGATGACATGCAAATCCATATCAACAATACTTTCCTGAACCCCCATCTCTCCTATTCAACCTCTTAAAGGAGGTTTTGACCATTTTGACTTCGATATACTACATGTTCTTCAAACTCGTGTCCAAACTGTATTCATCTTTCCCCTGCCTGTGTCTGTTTCTCCTTCTACTTCAAGTATTTGGCACCATCATTTCAGTGTTGTTCATGACTCTCTACCACTCTCACCCTTCCATATTTATGTGATTCTTTTTAGTTCGACCTTCTATGTATCATTTGGGCCCATTTCCTCATTTCCATATTCATTCCCACTACCCTTGTTCAAGTCATCATTTTTTCACCTGAACTACTGCAATAGCCTCCCACCCAGTTCTCTGCAACAAATCCAGCTTTCCCTGGTCTATCCTTCATACTGCTACCAGAGTCATAAGTTACAAACTGCTGTTGCTATCTATTGGACACATAATAAAGTTTAATCCCCTCAAGCTGACATATAATGTGCTGTGTTATTTGGGCCTTCACTACTTCTTCACTACTTCTCAAGCTTCATCTTTCCATTCCATACTATATATATAAATTCAAGTCATCTTGAATTTCCTGAACCTTCTACGCCTTCTCCTGCTTTTGTGCATTTACACTTGCTCCTGTCCCTGCTCACCACCCTCTTGTTTTACCTGGTAACCAAATTCTACATATTCTTCAAGACTCAGATCAAATATTACCTGTAAGAAACATTCCCTGACACTATTTACCTAGTTAGATTCTGTGCCTACGTCCTCCCAGCATATTGCAATATGTCCTCTTACAATATTGCAATAGCTTGTCTATTTGACTTTTGTTACTCCCTATATACTTCGTCAGAGCAGAATCTTTAGCATAGTAACGATCCAAAAATGAATATTTTAAATTAATTAATTAATGAAAGTTGACTTCTTGACCACTTCAGAGACAGAAATACTGTTGCAAAGCAGGAGTGGGATATTAATTCAACAATACTTTGTTGAAGATTTACTTCTGACTTAGAGGTTGGCAACATGGAGATGAATAAGATACAGGCTTTGCCCTCAAGGAGCTCATCATCCAGTAGAAAATGAGAAGAAGAATGGGGCTATGGCAGGGAAAAGTCCAGGCTCAGTGAGAGAAGCACAAAGTGTTTAACAAGTACTAATGATTCTTAAATAGAGCAAATGAGAATAGAACACTGTTGGACTGGGTTTTTTTTTTCCCAACCTCTAATCTACTCTTCTAAAAATGTTTCCTGACTACACATACTTGGAAAGAAAAATGTCCCCTAAAAGCAAGCACTACCAGGAAGCCAAAAGCAATTTGGAATGCAATGTATTAACTACTCTGAGATTCATTACCAGAAAGCGAAGGATTGAAGTAGGGAAGGCTGGAGAAAAGGAAAAGAAGGAGAAAGACAAAGAGTGGAAGAAAAAGATATTCAGTAAGAAGTCGACAGAATCTGTTATTTGGTATCATTTTCCCCCAAAACACAAGACCCAGGTTTTTTATCTGATTTTTCTGATAGTTATGTTCATCAAGTCCAAGTTAGACAGAGAACAACTAGGGAGGCTAGATTTAGTTTTATTTTCTGGGAAGAATATGGTTTGAGGGATGTTGTTTCTCCACATGTATCTAAATTCTTGCTCCAAGTTAAACAGCACTTAACTTGCACTTTCCCATTCAAATTATGTTTTGCAGCAAATTTTATTTCTCACAAAAATCTATTTCTCTCTGATTTCCGCTTAAAGCCTTTGTTTTCTTAAAATTGCATTCGGAGAAATTTCATTTTTCTACTTGACTCTATTACTCAACTTCTTAAACTTGTGAGTCTGATTTTAGTAAACTTAAAATTGCAATTTTTTTTTAGGTTTTTTTTTTTTTTTCAAGATGGAGTCTCACTCTGTCACCCAGGCTGGAGTGCAGTGGCATGATCTTGGCTCACTGCAACCTCTACCTCCTGGGTTCAAGCGATTCTCCTGCCTCAGCCTCCCAAGTAGCTGGGATTGCAGGCGCCTGCCACCACACCCAGCTAATTTTTGTATTTTTAGTAGAGACAGGGTTTTGCCATGTTAGCCAGGTTGGTCTCGAACTCCTGAGCTCAAGTGATCTGCCCACCTCAGCCTCCCAAAATGCTAGGATTACAGGCGTGAGCCACTGCGCCCGGCCAGAATTGTAACTTTTAAATACTTCTTGTGAAGGATTAATTCACTGAAAACCAAGACCAGTATTGACAGTGGTATGGCAGCTAAGTTTCTGAGTAATTTAAAATTTAATGGTGCTGTAATTGCTTATTTTTTCTGCATAATATGACTAAAATCATAGCAGATATATGTAAAACATGAATAAACTGCAAGTAGCATTGAGAATCTCACAACTTCTGGGCATGAGAGAATACTGGTTCCTCTTTTCATATTCAGGGATGGGAATTGCCAGCGGGCTTCTCACCTTCTAACTACAATTCACAACTACTAGCATCAGAAAGCTTGATACAAAAGGCAGAATTCAAGCAGAGCCCAAAAAACTTCCATCATATATCAGCATCTGACCTATGTACTGGTGTGGGTTGCTTGTGGACTCTGACTTTCTGGTATCTGAATTCTACCTGCCAATCAGCTTGGACATATAGTGCCTGGTTGCATTTCCTTACTTTTCTTAACTCCCCTAGACTTGACTCTTGGCTTGGCTAGAACTGGGATTCTACCATAGTTTTATGTATAACAAGGCTCCCAGGACCCCTGTCACACTGCTGATTATTGTCTACATGACATTATTTCTAGCCATAAGGGAGTAAAATGACCTGAAATGCTCAATTGTACCTTGTAACAAGTGTCCTTGTTGGTTAAGGTATACAACTTCCTGGGCAATCCTTTACCTGTACCTACTCCCACCATGCCATTCTCTGACTAGTTTGCCTGGCTGCCACAGCCACCTCCACTTCTATGGATACCCAACTATCTTTATACCTGGGTAGAATCAGAATTGAGCTTCTAAGTCTAATGACTTTCATCTGAATTATCTTCTCTTTGTCCTTTACTATTTCCTGCATCTTCTAAGATGGAGACACAGTCCATATAGCTGAGATGACATACAGACTCTGCATCAGAGGAGGCAGCCTGTGTCACAGTGTAGTGATTAAGACCATGGATTCTGGAGCCAGACTTCCTGGGCTTGAATCTCAGCTCCCCCTCTTACTTAATGATATTAATTAGGGCAAGTTATTTAATCTCTCATGTCTCTAGTTTCTCATAAGTAAAACAAGGATAATAAATTATGCATACCATATTTGTTGGTATTTAAGGAATAAATGAGAAAAATCATGTAAGTCCCTTAACACAGTAACTGGCAAATAAGTGCCCAATAATTATTAGGTATCATCAATAATATTAACCCAAAGTGTACTCCCACTCTTCATACACCAAGTAGAATGAGTCGATCAAATTCTTCTATGCCAGGCTAGCAGTCAATTTGACTATGAAAAATGACCTGCACAAATGACTGTACCCTAGAAATAGATGAACTTAAGTGACGCTAGATATATTAAGTTGCAGGTAGAAGGTAGGCATAGGCCCTGGAAGGGCCTTTGCTTCAAATATATGCAATAGACTCTGGTAACCCTGAAACAAAATAAGCAAAAGCAAAGCCTCTCAGAGGTTGAGAGATGGCCTTCTAAGGAACCAGGTTATTAGGAAAATTTTTCTCTGAGCATTCCTAGAGCCCCAAGGCCCTAGTGTGTCGTGGGATAGATGGTTAGGATGAAAGCTTCCGTGGAAACACTTAGATTCACTGTGGATTTGAATACTTAAAAAGAAATTATCTCTATTGGCTTTGAGTGTCCCTGAGGCTCCAGCCAATTTTGTGGATGGCAGGTTTATAGAACAAACATCATTCTGTGACCCAAGTCACACTTCTGCTGCTAAACTCAGCAGATCATTGTGGCAACCATTGAGGTCTACCATTAGAGTCTCCCTTTAAGCAAGAACTTCCAGTTCAGCTGCAAAGAGGGCAGTGAGATCACAGCCTCCAGCTTCACTTTTAGGATCTATCTCACTTTCTAAAATGAGACCACACTCTTCTTGGACAGGCCAGAGCCAAGGACTCGCAAAGGCCTAGCCATTTCTGCCCAGCTCAGAATTCTTCTAATGGGAAATTTTTACTCCAGAGCTCTCTGTTAGATTGGGTGAGACTTTGTCAGATAAGCATTGAGATATGAGGCTCTCCTAGCCCAATCATGCTTCATCTCCCTTTTATTTTTCACAGATGCTCCCCAGTAAACCTTTTGTGTTCCTACATCTCTGACCCAGTGTCTGATTTCTGAAGGACCCAAATGACTCAATCATCTACTTGTGACGTAAGCAATTTCACAGGGAACTGATGTACTCATTCAACCTGCTCCTACCCCAACCCCTGCCCCTACACAAACACATATATCACCAGCTGGGCTGTTTGTACAAATAGAAATAATGGGGAAAAAATCCTTCCATACTGATTACTATCCTTAACCAATTAATGATAAGAGATGGGTAAGTGCTTCCTCTCATTCCAGAATTATTCAGACATTTTTGGTAAGCCAGATGGTTCACAAGGTGAAACCACCAGGGAGCCTATAATCAAGTCTGGGTGCACAAAGGCAATAAATGAAAGAAAACATCCTTCCTGAGACATGGACTCTCTGCATACAATGCCATACTGTTTTGGTTCTGTAATTCCCCGCCCTTCTCAGCAAAATCCCAAGGGACTTCAGTATCCAGCTCAGCATTGTCCATCAGGACGATATCTTAGTCTAGGTGAACATGACTAGCAGCTGCAAGCTCTACTCTAGTATCTTTAGAATGACCAGTAAGATTTGAAAACAGAAAAAGGGAAAGTGAAAATATGCAATTGACCTGGAAAAGTGGGATCTCTAAGTCTTATCATTGTGTCTGATGGGTTATAAAGGACTTCCCAAATGGTGTCCTTAATTACAAATGGGACCCTTTCACACATATGAAGAGTCCAGAAAATTCTTTGTCCACCCTGTTTGTTTGTTTCTACTGTTCTTCACTCACAGTCTTATTCAAAAAAGACTCCTAGTTCAGAAAAAAAAGCAGGGGAGCTTCTACGACTAAATTATCCTGGATCTTCAATCCATCTACAGCCAGTATAAAGTGGTTGTGACAACATAAGGTGTTGGGACATTCAGCTGCACATTTTACTCTTCTATGCTTTACTCCTTTTACCTGAGACCCTCCCTCCCACCACCCCCAAGCCAAGATGCTAGACGTGAGTAACCCATGGCTTTGGGGGAAGTTGTCAGAATGTAACCAGAAAACAAAGGTTCCAAAATCTTTGCTCTTGAGTTTTCAAAAGCCAGAGGTTCAGGTGTAAGACAGAGAAGATTTGGAAGCATTTGTAACCTAGTTTTCTTCTCCTGCCGCAGATTCTGCAGACTGGGGAGGAAAGAAGGGAGAAACCACAGAGAAAGAAATGGAGTCAGAAGGGAGGGAACATTGAACTTCGCTGGAGAAAACTCCATCAGCGGCCAGCAACAGAGAGCCATGTGCCAAGGAGCCCATTGATCAAATATCTAGCAGAAACAATTCCTGGCTACAACCATTCAGCAGTCCAGGCCCCTCTTAAACTCCTGGACACCTGGGCAACATGAGATGAGAAGGAACTGTCTTGAGATCTCCCGTGGAGGTCTCAACAAGAAGAAGTTGGTAGCTATATGGAGAGTGCTGCCAGATAGGATCTGCTCCTCAGTAGAGGTGCACAACAAATTCCTGGAAGGAAGTGGGTCAGGGGAATACATTCTCTGTCCTCACTCTCCTCCTACTCTTCCCTTTGATTTCCTATCAGTACCTTCCACTGGCTGAACCCAACTAGAAGCCAGAGGGCAAGGGAGTCCATTGAAGCAACCTATGCAGGTCAGAGCAGGGTAAGTGGGAGATGCAGAGGGTGGGGATAACAATGCAAAATATTCAGCATAGACAACTTGATAAGAACTTCCTGGAAAACATTACTCCCTTTGAGAATTTGATAAAAACTATAAACCCTTACAACAAAAAAATGCAAGTAAGCATAAACATTCGATTTTGCATGACATTTCAAGAATTTTGCAGCCCCTGTGCCCTCTCCATAGTGTACCTAGGAGTTTCATGATACCAAGTTAAGAACCCCGTGCTCTGGAGAGCTGTTTGTGGAAACGAATGTCATCTTGTTATGGTTGTTATTTCCTTAGCTTTTTTTTTTTCCTTCTCTGTTTCCAGCAACTTAGATATCTCAGAGGAAAGGTGACACCTTAGGCCAACTATAAGTGAACCAATGGGCCTATTCTTTACTCAGACCTGCCCAGTCTGAGTGTAATACAGAGTCAGATAGCAGAGCTCAGAAGGAGAAGCAGGCAGAAAATGTGGGGCTGGCCATGTGATGCTGCGTTGCCTAGCAACACTGGCTGAGAGGCTCTCCTTCCTGAGCCTCTCACCAGAGCAGCAGAAAGAATTGGTTTAAAATGAATGCGAGTGTGTGTGAGAGAGAGAGAGACAGAGAGACAGAGAGAGAAGGGAGATTAGAAACAGAGAAAGGGAGAGGGGCAGAGAGAGAGAGTGAAATTGAGAGACAGACAATGGCAAGCAAAAGAGAGAGTTTAGTAAGCAAGAAAAAAGTGGAGAATAAAAACATTTCAGTAAAATGGAAAAAAATTGAGAGGTTCAGAGGGTGGACTGTGAGATGAACTCAGTTAATGGAAAAATGAAGAGGAACAAAGAATAAATAGAGAGATGTCCAAAGGAGGGAGTGAGTGGGTGGTGGAGTCAGTAGGGGATCGGGGGTGATAGAGCCAGCAGCAGTGGTCCCTCCTCACTGATGGCTCCCAGGTCCCCTCACTGATGGCTCTTGTGTTACCTTCACTTCACAGTGAAAGTTACCCAGTTTCTTTTTCTAATTGTATTGTGTTATAAGTCAAATCCTCAAATGCTGCAGCAGCACCAGGAATTCTTTCTTAAGCACTACAGGGTCCACAGCATTGCTCAGCTCAGTAAAGATCCTCTTGTATAATAACCACAGTGATGACTCAGCCCTGGAGCACAGCTCTTTACAGTTTACCAAGTGCTTTCACAGCTGCCACCTCATGGGACCCTTACTGCAGCTCTGAGAGGTAGACAATTCAGGGATGGCCATGACTTTCACTCCACACATGGAGAAACTGAGGCTCTGAGAAGTGGAATGACAGGACCCCATTTAGCAAAGTTAGATTCAGGATGTGTGCCCGGGGTCCTGAACCCACGTTTCAGGGATAGGTCTGGGGTGCCGATCTGCCTGGACTTTCCAAATAAACCTGCTGGCAAGAAAGGCACTTGCTCTCCACCACCCGCTGAGGTGGGAGCTGAAGAGCTACTGAAAAGTCTCAAGCCAGCAGGGGGTGCTCTTTCATCTTCTTTCCCCATGAAGTGTAAACGTGTCCATCTGTGCGTCCCAGAGCAGAGCTTGATTGGCCCAGTGTGCAGCCAGCTTCTAACAACCCTTTGAGATATCCCTGGGCACCCATATTCTCAGGAAAATCTTGCCTCTTTCATTTTCAGAACAATCACCAATGATTGCAAAACACCTTTTGGACAGGGGTAGGAATATTTGAGAGAAGGTAGCAATCAGTCTCTAGGGCCAGAGGGGCTGAAGGATTAGGCAGAGAAAAGCTGGCAACTGAGTCCCATGGAGCAGCTGAATGGTTTCTCTTTCTTCTCAATTCTCTCCAATGCCTGAAGGCTAAGACATAGCAGAAATGAACTCGAGTCCTCTGTTTGGCCCCAAGCTTCTCCCCTGCCAAAGTCTCCCCCTTGTCCATTCCATCCTGTGCTTGCTGACAGATAAGTTTCCAAAAAAATGACATTCACCTGCTCAGCAACCTTCAATGATTTCTTCACTCTTTATGGTATTAATTTTATCACACTGGCATTGAAAAGTCACTTAATATTGCCCAAAATTCTCAGTTTCATATCTGCATATTTCCTACATAAACCCAAGTGTCTAACAAACTGGTCTACTACACAGGGGAAAGGTTAAGATGTTTTGATGTTCTCCAAATTCATGGCTCAATCTTGTGAAGCGATTTAGCAACCAACTTGCCTTGTATTCCTCTGCCTGGAGGGTGACCATTGGGAGAATAAAGAGGAGGTAGAGTGATTGCCAGAGTTAGAAATAACTTTCTGTAGAGTTGAGAATGTACAGTTGGGAATGCTAAATCCTAACAATGCTAAAGTTAGAGAAAATGAATCACTAAGCCCCCTATTTTCAGATGTTTATGACTTCAAGGAATATAAATGAGTACACATTTTAGAAGTCTAACAGGGCAGAATTCTCAGACAATAGAGTTTTGTTTTCATTGTGCAGCACATGTAGTCAAGTCCCATGACTCACATCTTGTAGTGAGATCAATTTTGAGGTGTGAATTTTAGATTTTTCAGAAGCCTAAACAACGGATCATGGTTGTTTATTGAGAAGATAAAAAGCCATTGATCTCATTTCCAAGTCTACAAATAAAACAAGCTTAAAATTATTCCTGCATCCACTCAAGAGGCAGTTAAAGGTTGTTTGTTCTGTCTCTCTCACTTAACATCTACTTAGTTATTGATTCTAGTCAATAGTCTAGTGTCCTCCACTCCTCCTGCCTTATTTTAGACCCCATCATTTTCTTAAAATAAAATATTTCATATATATGTAAGGAATACATTATAGTAAAATGAAAACCTGCATACCCATCACCAAATATGGGAGCTAAAATATGATCGAAGCCTCTGAAACCCACTTATGCTCTCCCTGAGGTCCCAGAGGTAACCACTATCTTGAATTTCGTTAATCATTCACTTGTTTTTCTTTATATGTTCATTTCATAGGTATTTTCCTTTAAGCAATATGTTATTTCATTTTGTCTCTTTTGGGAACTAATACAAATGCAGTCACACTATATGTCTTATATTTTGGCTTCTTCCTTTTTGCTCCCAACTTGGTTTATGAGATTTGTCTATGTTGATGTGTGTAGCTGCAGTAATTATTTTTCACTGCAAAATAGTTATCCATGATATGAAAATTCTACACTTTATTAATTCACTTGTTGATAAACATGTGGGTTGTTTCCAGTTTTATGCTTTTGCAAAGGATGCTGCTATGAACATTCTCATGCATATCTCTTAATACCCATGTACAAGAGTTTTTCTAGGGCAGTGGTTCTCAACTCCATGTAATTTTGCCCACCTCCAGAGAACATTTGTCAATGTCTGGAGACATCTTTTGTTATTATGACTTAGAGTGGGGGTGCTACTAGCATCTAGTGGGATAGAGGTCAGGGATGCTGTTAAACATCCTACAATGCTTAGAATGCAATCCACAAATGTCTTAATTTGTTTTGTGCAGCTATAACGGAATACTTGAAACTGGGTTAATTATAAAGACCAGAAATTTATTGACTCATGGTATTGAGACTGGGAAGTCCAAGATCAAGGGGCCACATCTGGTGAGGGCCTCCTTGCTGTGTCATATGGGGGCAGAAGGCATCACGTGGCAAGAGAGAGATGGTGAGGGAGGAAGGGAGAGAGAGAGAGAGAGAGAGAGAGAGAGAGAGAATAGAAGAGGGGCAATCTCATCCTTTTATCAGGGATCCACTCCTGTAATAACTGCAGTCATCCATTCATGAGGGCAGAGCTCTCATGATCTAATCACCTCTTTAAAATCCTACTTCTCCACACTGCTGCATTGGGGATCAAGTTTACAACACATAAATTTTGAGGGACACATTTAAACCGCAGCAACAGCAAAGAATTATCTCCCTCTAAATATTAATAATCCCAAGGTTGAACAACTGATCTAGAGCATATGCCTAGATGTGAAATTTCTAGGTCATTGAGTTTTCTTAAGTTCAACTTTACTAGTTAATGTCAGTTTACTTGCAAAGTGGTTGTACTAATTACACTCGCAATGACAGAGGATAAAAGCTCTACTTGTTCCATATTCTCACCAACTCAATATTGTTACCTTTATTACTTCTTTTTTTTGATAAGAATAGTCTTTATTAAGTAATAACCATCACAATGGAGAAGAGAGTCCAGTGTAAACTCAGCTCAACTTCCATTTTTGCAGAGGTGACTGGGTGTTTTTTTTTTAATTTTGTTTTTGCTGTTTTTATAATTTCAAGTTTTATTTTAGATATAGGGGTACATGTGCAGTTTTCTTACATGGATTTATTACGTGATGCTGAGGTTTGTGGTAGAAATCCCATCACCCAGGCATAGCGCCCAATAGGTAGTTTTTCAGCCCACACCCACTCTCTGCCTTCCCTCTCTAGTTGTCCCAAGTGTCTATTGTTCCCATGTTTATGTCCATATGCACTCAATGTTTAGCTCCTACTTATAAATGAGAATGTGTTATTTAGTTTTCTGTTCCTGCATTAATTTACTTAGGATAATGGCCTCCAGCTGCATGGATGTTGCTTCAAGCAACATTATTTTATTCTTTTAATGGCTGCATAGTATCCCATGGTGTATATGTTCCACATTTTCTTTATTTAATTCTCCATTGATGGACACCTAGGTTGATTCTATGTCTTTGCTACTGTGAATAGCACTGTGATGAACTTGCAACTGCATGTGTCTTTTTGGTAGAACCACTTATTTTCTTTTGGATATATACCCAGTAATGGGATTGCAGAGTCAAATTGTAGCTCTGTTTTAAGATCTTTTAGAAATCTCCAAACTGATTTCTACAGTGACTGAACTAATTTACATTCTGATCAACAGTGTATAAGCATTCACTTTTCTCTGCAGCTTCGCCAACATCCGTTATTATTCAACCTTTTTTTATTTTTTTGTTATACTTTAAGTTCTAGGGTACATGTGCACAACGTGCAGGTTTGATACATAGGTATATACATGTGCCATGTTGGTTTGCTGCACCCATCAACTCATCATTTACTTTAGGTATTTCTCCTAATGCTATCCCTCCCCCCAGCCCCTCACCCCCTCAGGCCCAGGTGTGTGATGTTCCCTGCCCTGTGTCCAAGTGATCTCATTGTTCAATTCTGACCTATGAGTGAGAACATGTGGTGTTTGGTTTTCTCTCCTTGTAATGGTTTGCTGGGAATGATGTTTTCCAGCTTCATCCATGTCCCTGCAAAGGACATGAACTCATCCTTTTTTATGGCTGCATAGTATTCCATGGTGTATATATGCCACATTTTCTTAATCCAGTCTATCATCGATGGACATTTGGGTTGGTTCCAAGTCTTTGCTACTGTGAATAGTGCCACAATAAACATATGTGTCCATGTGTCTTTATAGTAGCATGATTTATAATCCTTTGGGTATATACCCAGTAATGGGATGGCTGGGTCAAATGGTATTTCTAGTTCTAGATCCCTGAGGAATCACCACACTGTCTTCCACAATGGTTGAACTAATTTACACTCCCACCAACAGTGTAAAAGCGTTCCTATTTCTCCACATCCTCTCCAGCATCTGTTGTTTCCTGACTTTTTAATGACTGCCATTCTACCTGGCGTGAGATGGTATCTCATTGTGGTTATCTCATTGTGGTTTTGATTTGCATTTCTCTGATGACCAGTGATGATGAGCATTTTTTCATGTGTCTGCTGGCTGCATAAATGTCTTGAGAAGTGCCTGTTCATATCCTTTGCCCACTTTTGAAGGGGTTGTTTTTTTCTTGTAAATTTGTTTAAGTTATTTGTAGATTCTGGATATTAGCCCTTTGTCAGACAGATAGATTGCAAAAATTTTCTCCCATTCTCTAGGTTGCCTGTTCACTCTGATGGTAGTTTCTTTTGCCATGCAGAAGCTCTTTAGTTTAATTAGATCCCATTTGTCTATTTTGGCTTTCATTGCCATTACTTTTGGTGTTTTAGACATGAAGTCCTTGCCCATGCCTATGTCCTGAATGGTATTTCCTAGGTTTTCTTCTAGGGTTTTTATGGTTTTAAGTCTAACATTTAAGTCTTTAATCCATCTTGAATTAATTTATTGTATAAGGTGTAAGGAAGGGATCCAGTTTCAGCTTTCTACATATAGCTAGCCAGTTTTCCCAGCACCATTTATTAAATAGGAAATCCTTTCCCCATTTTTTGTTTTTGTCAGGTTTGTCAAAGATCAGATGGTTGTAGATGTGTGGTGTTCTTTCCGAGGCCTCTGTCCTGTTACGTTGGTCTATATATCTGTTTTGGCACCACTACCATGCTGTTTTGATTACTGTAGCCTTGTAGTATAGTTTGAAGTCAGGTAGCATGATGTCTCCAGCTTTGCTGTTTTTGCTTAGGATTGTCCTGGCAATGCGGGCTCTTTTTTGGTCCCATATGAACTTTAAAGTAGTTTTTCCAATTCTATGAAGAAAGTCAGTGGTAGCTTGATGGGGTGGCATTGAATCTATAAATTACTTTGGGCAGTATGGCCATTTTCACAATATTGATTCTTCCTATCCATGAGCATGGAATGTTCTTCCATTTGTTTGTATCCTCTTTTATTTCGTTGAGCAGTGGTTTGTAGTTCTCCTTGAAGAGGTCCTTCACATCCCTTGCAAGTTGGATTCCCAGGCTTTTTATTCCCTTGGTAGCAACTGTGAATGGGAGTTCACTCATGATTTGGCTCTCTGCTTGTCTGTTAACAATGCAGAGGAATGCTTGTGATTTTTGCACACAGATTTTGTATCCTGAGACTTTGCTGAAGTTGCTTATCAGATTAAAGAGATTTTGGGCTGAGACGACGGGGTTTTCTAAATATACAATCATATCATCTGCAAACAGGGACAATTTGACTTCCTCATTTCCTAACTGAATACCCTTTATTTCTTTCTCTTGCCTGATTGCCCTGGCCAGAACTTCCAACACTATCTTGAATAGGAGTGGTGAGAGAGGGCATCCTTGTCCTGTGCCAGTTTTCAAAGGGAATGCTTCCAGTTTTTGCCCATTCAGTATGATATTGGCTGTGGGTTTGTCATAAGTAGCTCTTATTATTTTGAGATGCATTCCATCAATACCTAGTTTATTGAGAGCTTTTAGCACGAAGGGCTGTTGAATTTTGTTGAAAGCCTTTTCTGCATCTATTGAGATAATCATGTGGTTTTTGTCATTGGTTCTGTTTATATGCTGGATTACGTTTATTGATTTGTGTATTTTTTTATTATACTTTAAGTTTTCGGGTACATGTGCACAATGTGCAGGTTTGTTACATATGTATACATGTGCCATGCTGGTGTGCTGCACCCAGTAACTCTTCATTTAACATTAGGTATATCTCCTAATGCTATCCCTCCCCCCTTCCCCCACCCCACAACAGTCCCCTGAGTGTGATGTTCCCCTTCCTGTGTCCATGTGTTCTCATTGTTCAATTCCCACCTATGAGTGAGAACATGCGGTGTTTGGTTTTTTGTCCTTGCCATAGTTTGCTGAGAATGATGGTTTCCAGCTTCATCCATGTCCCTACAAAGGACATAAACTCATCAGTTTTTATGGCTGCATAGTATTCCATGGTGTATATGTGCCACATTTTCTTAATTTAGTCTATCATTTTTGGACATTTGGGTTGGTTCCAAGTCTTTGCTATTGTGAATAGTGCCGCAATAAACATATGTGTGCAGGTGTCTTTATAGCAGCATGATTTATAATCCTTTGGGTATATACCGAGTAATGGGATGGCTGGGTCAAATGTTATTTCTAGTTCTAGATCCCTGAGGAATCGCCACACTGACTTCCACAATGGTTGAACTAGTTTACAGTCCCACCAACAGTGTAAAAGTGTTCCTATTTCTCCACATCCTTTCCAGCACCTGTTGTTTCCTGACTTTTTAAAGATTGCCATTCTAACAGGTTTGAGATGGTATCTCATTGTAGTTTGCATATGTTAAACCAGCCTTGCATCCCAGGGATGAAGCCGACTTGATCGTGGTGGATAAGCTTTTTGATGTGCTGCTGAATTCGGTTTGCCAGTATTTTATTGAGGATTTTTGCATCGATGTTCATCAGGGATATTGGTCTAAATTTCTCTTTTTTTTTGTTGTGTCTCTGCCAGGCTTTGGTATCAGAATAATGTTGGCCTCATAGAATGAGTTAGGGAGGATTCCCTCTTTTTCTATTGATTGGAATAGTTTCAGAAGGAATGGTACCAGCTCCTCTTTGTACCTCTGGTAGAATTCAGCTGTGAATCCATCTGGTCCTGGACTTTTTTTTGGTTAGTAAGCTATTAATTATTGCCTCAATTTCAGCGCCTGTTATTGGTCTATTAAGAGATTCAACTTCTTCCTGGTTTAGTCTTGGGAGGGTGTATGTGTCCAGGAATTTATCCTTTTCTTCTAGATTTCCTGGTTTATTTGCTTAGGGGTGTTTACAGTATTCTCTGATGGTAGTTTGTATTTCTGTGGGATCAGTGGTGATATCTCCTTTATCATTTTTTATTTTGTCTATTTGATTCTTCTCTCTTTTCTTCATTATTTGTCTTGCTAGTGGTCTATCAATTTTGTTGATCTTTTCAAAAAACCAGCTCCTGGATTCATTGATTTTTGAAGGGTTTTTTGTTTCTCTATCTCCTTTAGTTGTGCTCTGATCTTAGTTATTTCTTGCATTCTGCTAGCTTTTGAATTTGTTTGCTCTTGTTTCTCTAATTCTTTTAATTGTGATGTTAGGGTGTCGATTTTAGATCTTTCCTGCTTTCTCTTGTGGGCATTTAGTGCTATAAATTTCCCTCTACACTGCTTTAAATGTGTCCCAGAGATTCTGTTACGTTGTGTCTTTGTTCTCACTGGTGTCAAAGAACATCTTTATTTCTGCCTTCATTTCATTATTTACCCAGTAGTCATTCAGGAGCAAGTTGTTCAGTTTCCATGTACTTGTGTGGTTTTCAGTGAGTTTCTTAATCCTGAGTTCTAATTTGATTACACTGTGGTCTGAGAGACAGTTTGTTGTGATTTCTGTTCTTTCATATGTGCTGAGTGCTTTACTTCCAATTATGTGGTCAATTTTAGAATAAGTGTGATGTGGTGCTGAGAAGAATGTATATTCTGTTGATTTGGAGTGGAGAGTTCTGTAGATGTCTATTGGGTCCACTTGGTGCAGAGCTGCGTTCAAGTCCTGGACATCCTTGTTAACCTTCTGTCTCGTTGATCTGTCTAATATTGACAGTGGGGTGTTAAAGTTTCCCATTATTATTGTGTGGCAGTCTAAGTCTCTTTGTAGGTCTCTAAGGACTTGCTTTATGAATCTGGGTACTCCTATATTGGGTGCGTATATATTTAGGATAGTCAGCTCTTCTTGTTGAATGGATCCCTTTACCTTTATGTAATGGCCTTATTTGTCTCTTTTGATCTTTGTTGGTTTAACGTCTGTTTTATCCGAGACTAGGATTGCAATCCCGCTTTTTTTTTTTTTTTTTTTTTTTTTTTTTTTTTTTTTTTTTGCTTTCCATTTGCTTGGTAGATCTTCCTCCATCCCTTTATTTTAGCCTATATGTGTCTCTGCCCATGAGATGGGTCTCCTGAATACAGCTCACTGATGGGTCTTGACTATACAATTTGCCAGTCTGTGTCTTTTAATTGGGGCATTTAGCCCATTTACACTTAAGGTTAACATTGTTATGTGTGAATTTGATCCTGTCATTATGATGTTCACTGATTATTTTGCCCATTAATTGATGCAGTTTCTTCATAGCATCCATGGTCTTTACAATTTGGCATGCTTTTGCAGTGGCTGGTTCCGGTTGTTTCTTTCCATGTTTAGTGCTTCCTTCAGGAGCTCTTGCAAGGCAGGCCTGGTGGTGACAAAATCTCTCAGCATTTGCTTGTCTGTAAAGGATATTATTCACTTATGAAGCTTAGTTTGGCTGGATATGAAATTCTGGGTTGAAAATTCTTTTCTTTAAGAATGTTGAATATTGGCCTCCACTCTCTTCTGGCTTGTAGAGTTTCTGCCAAGAGATCCGCTGTTAGTCTGATGGGCTTCCCTTTATGGGTAACCCGACCTTTCTCTCTGGCTGCCCTTAACACTTTTTCCTTCATTTCAACCTTGGTGAATCTGACAATTATGTGTCTTGGGGTTGCTCTTCTCAAGGAGTATCTTTGTGGTGTTCTCTGTATTTCCTGAATTTGAATGTTGACCTGCCTTGCTAGGTTGGGGAAGTTCTCCTGGATAATATCCTGAAGAGTGTTTTCCAACTTGGCTCCATTCTCCCCATCACTTTCAGGTACACCAATCAGATGTAGATTTGGTCTTTTCACATAGTCCCATATTACTTGGAGGCTTTGTTCATTTCTTTTTACTCTTTTATCTCTAACCTTGTCTTCTCGCTTCATTTCATTAATTTGATCTTCAATCACTGGTACCCTTTCTTCCACTTGATCAAATCGGCTGTTGAAGCTTGTGCATGTGTCACGAAGTTCTCAGGCCATGGTTTTCAGCTCCATCAGGTCATTTAAGGTCTTCTCTACACTGTTTATTCTAGTTAGTCATTCATCTAATCTTTTTTCAAGGTTTTTATCTTCCTTGTGGTGGGCTCGAACATCCTCCTTTAGCTCGGAGAAGTTTGTTATTACCGACCTTCTGAAGCCTACTTCTGTCAACTCGTCAAAGTCATTCTCCATCCAGCTTTGTTCCATTGCTGGTGAGGAGCTGCGATCCTTTGGAGGAGAAGAGGCACTCTGGTTTTTAGAATTTTCAGCTTTTCTGCTCTGGTTTGTCCCCATCTTTGTGGTTTTATCTACCTTTGATCTTTGATGTTGGTGACCTACAGATGGGGTTTTGGTGTAGATGACCTATTTGTTAATGTTGATGTTATTCCTTTCTGTTTGTTAGTTTTCCTTCTAACAGTCAGGTCCCTCAGCTGCAGGTCTGTTGGAGTTTTCTGGAGGTCCACACCAGACCCTGTTTGCCTGGGTATCACTGGCGGAGGTTGCAGAACAGCAAATATTACAGAACAGCAAATATTCCTGCCTGATCCTACCTCTGGAAGCTTCGTCCCAGAGAGGCAGCCACCTATATGAGGTGTCTGTTGGCCCCTACTGGGAGATGTCTCCCAGTTAGGCTACACAGGGGTCAGGGACCCACTAGAGGAGGCAGTCTGTCTGTTCTCAGAGCTCAAACGTCATGCTGGGAGAACCACTGCTCTCTTAAGAGCTGTCAGACAGTGACTTTTAAGTCTGCAGAAGTTGTCTGCTGCCTTTTGTTCAGCTATGCCCTGCCTACAGAGGTGGAGTCTAGAGGCAGTAGGCCTTGTTGAGCTGTGGTGGGCTACACCCAGTTTGAGCTTCCCAACTGCTTTGTTTACCTACTCAAGCCTCAGCAATGGCAGACGCCCCTCCCCCAGCCAGGCTGTGGCCTCGCAGTTTGATCTCAGACTGCTTTGCTAGCAGTGAGCAAGGCTCTGTGGGCATGGGACCCGCCGAGCCAGGCACAGGTGAGAATCTCCTTGTCTGTCGGTTGCTAAGACCTTGGGAAAAGCACAATATTTGGAGAGAAGCTTCTCATTTTTCCAGGTAGTCTGTCACGGCTTCCCTTGGCTAGGAAAGGGAAATCCCCTGACCCCTTGCACTTCCCGGGTGAGGTGACACCCCGCCCTGCTTCAGCTCACCCTCCAAGGGCTGCACCCACTGTCCAACCAGTCCCAGTGAGATGAACCAGGTACCTCAGTTGGAAATGCAGAAATCACCCGTTTTCTGCATCGATCATGCTGGGAGCTGCAGACCAGAGGCTGTTCCTATTCAGCCATCTTGGCTTTTTTTTTTTTTTTTTAAGATGGAGCCTAGCTCTGTCACCCAGGCTGGAGTGCAGTGGCACAATCTCCACTCACTGCAAGTTCTGCCTTCCAGGTTCACGCCATTCTCCTGCCTCAGCCTCCCGAGTAGCTGGGGCTACAGGTGCCCGCCACCACACCTGGCTAATTTTTTGTATTTTTAGTAGAGACGGGGTTTCACCGTGTTAGCCAGGATGGTCTCGATCTCCTGACCTCGTGATCCGCCCACCTCGGCCTCCCAATATTATTCAACTTTTTATGTAATAGTCATTCTTACTGGTGCCTTTACTATTTCTTGCCTGAACTTTTGTTCCTGCATAGCATCCTAACTTTTCTGTTATTTTCATATCTTTTCCCACAGATACATTCTTCATAATATTGCCAAACTGAACCCCCTAAAACCTAACTCTGATCATGTCAAATTCCTATGAGGAAACTTTTATGGATTCTACTATATACAAAATAAACCTGGCATTGAAGATTTACACAAAGGCTTCACTAACTCTGCAAAACTAGTAATACCAACTTATTTGATGGCACTTAAACAAGCTCTGTGCTCTGTATAATTTTTGTTGTTGAAGTTTTGCCCTTTTTTACAGTCGTTTGTTCATTCAGTCAGTTAATAATCATTTACTTTACTGAGCACCTAATATGTGCCAAGCTTGATTCTAAATTCTGGAAATGTAGCAATCAACAAGACAGCCAATATAGCTCTCGGCCTGCTCCTCTCTTGGCTTCCCCCACCCTCAAACCCTCTAAGCTAAGAATCACCTCCCAAGATTAATCCCAGGAAGTTTCCAGAGCCTGGAGACTAGTGTTTTCCATGGTCCAACCAATCCTTGTTCCTCATCTATCAGTATTTATCTTTTAATCAAGATTTGTGATGTGGGCATCCAAAGGGGCTGCAGGAGAGAAGAGCTCCAGAAGAGTGAGAAAAGGAAAGCTCAGCTCTTTCTTGCCTGTCCTACTAGAGTTGGCCTTGGCAGGCTCTCTAGGGGTCTTTCTTGAGTGCTTTCAGTCCCTCCTCTTGCGTTCTGCCTTGTGTTCTTGATGACTATCAGGCAGACCTGGAAAAGGTTATGGTGAGGGAACAGGATAGGAGTGTCATGGCTTTCCTTGTTCCTGGGCCCAGTGGAGCTGTGTGGAGCCTTGGGCTCTAAGTAGGGAGTTTCTAGCCTGATCTAGGTCCAAACTGAGAGAGGAAGGCATAAAGAGGCTTCCCATTGTTGTGTCTCATTTCAAACACTCTTTTGCACCCCACAAGAAGAAAACTGCCACCTTTAACTCCATGGTTTGGTGGGGGAAGTGAAAGAAAATTTGACAAATAGGCCCCATGGAAAGGCTGCCAACTTTTGCATTATATTTTCCCTGCTGCAAGCCTGTTTTTCTGTACAACAAGAGTAATGACAAGTAGAGACTACACTTCTTTAAAACTCTTTTTTGTTTCCTGACTTTTAGTTTTAGAGACTACTTTGCAAGTCTCCTCACAGCTGCACTAGAACTAACAACTTTGTCTTTCAGTTAATGTGGGCTTCAGGGTTCCTCAGTGTGGCTGAGAAAAGTCAGTGACATTGATGCTACTTTTTACATTACTTAGTGTACCCTAAACCATGTGGAAGTTGGCCTGCTTGGGCCCCAAACTGTATAGGCCTACTTGAAATCAGTCTCTGTTACGTATCCCGACTACTCAGACTTCCAAGAGTTATGCACATGTTAAATTCAAATTTGTTTCTTCCTCTCTTAAAATTCATTGATAAATTCAAGGATTCCTTTTGGGGTGGTCTCTTGCCAAGCTATATCTACAAGACAGGTCTCTGTGAGGCCTTTACAGCAACCTAGTTGACTCACACCCAATTTTAGATAAAAAATAAGAGGATTTTACTGTTTTTTTTTTTTTAGCTCTACGTTTAGCTCTGTATTTTGCTAAACAAGTTTTCAAAATCCTGGAAAACAATTTTATTACTTTTTCCAAGGCATCATTAGGACCACATTGAAGTCCAAGAGAGATGGGAAACACTCATTTCTTCACTCAATCAATAAAAATTTATTAAAAGACCACCTATCATGTACCTGGCCTTGATCTTGCAATCAGAGGCTCAAAAAACAAGGCATCGTCTCTGACCCAAGATTTGCTCAAAGTCTGTTGTATAGCACAAGCTCTAATGGCTAGCTCAATGTATCTTGGCTAACAGAGTAATGACCAGAGTTCATTTGGATAAGTGCCCTATACTTCAAAGTGAGCACATAGGAGAATGAGGTAAGCTACATTTTGAAAGATGAGGAGTTACTTAGAGAGAGAAGTAATGACAGGCAAGAGGACCTCCAAGCAAAGGGGACAGCAATTTCAAAGACAGTCATAGAGACATGAAAGGCTATTATGCACTTGGAGTGTTGCCAGTGTTTGAGTGTGACTGCAGTGAAAAGATTTTGTAAGGTGGAATGACGGAAAATGAGGGTAAAGAGGCAGGCAGGGATTTTGGATGCCAAAGTCAGTAGTTTGGAGTTATCCTTAAGGCTAGAAGAAGCCATCAGAAAACTTTAACTAGGGAAGTAATATGTATTTTAGAAATATCATTCTGAAAATACTGTGGAGGAAAGATCAGAGAGGGGCAGCAATGCAGTGCAGAAACTTATGTGAGAGATGCTGAACTGCTGATCTAAGATAGTTGGTGAAGGCACATAGAGAAGAACATAGAATTTAGAATCAACAATTGGATGTGGTTCATTACTGAATGTGGGAATGAAAGGAGATGTTGAAAATATAGGAAAATAAGTGGTAGGTGATGTATTTACAACTTAGTAAGTCTGCATAGAAACAGAAAAATGCAAGTAGAGAGGAGAGTTTCACCAAACCAAATCAATAAGGAGATGAGGGGGAAAAAGAAGAGAGGACAGATGGGCAAGAAATAGAGAGGTCAAGGGATGGAGATCTCAATAAGATCAAAGAACAGGTGTAGAGGGAATAGGAGAATGAGAGAGCAGGATGGCTAGGAGGTTGTAATCCAAAATTGATGTTTTAACTTATGCTGTCAGAGGTAGAGTAGTTTCAGGTGAAGAATAAACCCAAACTGTATGTGTAGATGAGTGTGGCTACTACAGGGTAGAGAAGTTCACTAGAAATGAAAAGGTCAAACTGCTGGGTGGTTGATGTGGATACTGAAGTCCTCTGAAAGATGGTAGGATGGAGCAGAGAGAAAGACCATGAGCCAGAGCACAAGCCAGAACACCAAGCCCATGCTAAGTCAGAATAACTAGGAGGTCAGTGGATGCTAGCATGAAGGAGGCATAGAAGATGACATAGTGGAATGGCTTAAACCTCAAATGGGCAGGTATTTTTTGGCCTAGAAGCAACAGAGGATTGAGGAAAACCCACCTCTTTTCTGGCCCTAAGGTATTTGGCATATGAGAGAACAGAGTCTCCACTAGAGAGGACTTCAGGGTAAGCTATGTCTTCAGTGAATAATGAGGTTGCAGTTAAGGCCTGAAAATTAAGGGATCATTCAGAGAAGATGGTGGAGTGGAGGTGTTTCTGGGTTTTCTATTCTGTTCCATTGATGTATTTAACTATCTTGGGCTAAGACTTCACTGTCTTAATTGCTATAGCCCTAAACTGATATTTGGCAGAGCAAATTTCCTCACCACTTTCTTTAGGAGTATCTTGATTGTTCTTGGACCTTTGCTTCTCTGTATAAATTTTCAAATTATATTGAAAAATTCTACAAGATAGAACCTGTTAGAATTTTTATTGTAATTACATGGAATTATCAATAAAATGAAGGAATGTTGACATATTTATAATATTGAGCCTTTCAATCTATGAATATAGTATCTGTATTGAGTTCAGTCTTGTTTGCTGTCTCCCAATATGATTCTGTCATATTCTCTGTGAAAGTCTTACACATTTTAATTAGAGTTTTTTGTTGGTACTTCATATTTTTAATACCACTGTAAATGTTAGTTTTTAATTTCATTTTCTAACTGTTGTTTGAGTTAGTGTTGCTGTCCTTTTTCTAACTTCTTGGAAAAAATAGTTAGCTCATTAATTTTAAGGCTTTCTTCCTTTTCCTTTGATTCTTACTTTAACTGCATCCCACAAATTTTGTTACTTGGTATTTTCATTGTTTTTCAGTTCAAATTATTTTCAAGTACCCATTATTATTTATTCTTTTTATCTGTAATTTATTTTAAATTTACTATTTTCAAACATGTAGAGATTTTTCTAGTTGGCTATTTGTTATTGATTTCTAGCTGAATTCCACTCTGATTAGTGTACACGCTCTGTATGGTTTCAATCCTTTGCAATTTGTTAAGATTTTCTTTCTGGACATAATGTGATCATTTACAAAAATGTTATACATGTGCTGAAAAAAGCTGTACTTTTCAATTGTTTGGCAGATGTAGACATGGATGTACAGATAGATATAGATAATATAGGCAGAGATAGGTAGATGTAGAGGTAGAGGTAGCATATATATATATATCTTTATCAGGTCAAGTTTGTTAATCACTTTTTTTTTCAAGTCTTCCATGTACTTAACTGATTTTTGTTCTGCTTGTTCTATCAATTACTCAGAGAAATGTGTTAAAATACCCAACTGTGATTGCTTATTTCTCCCTATAGTTATGTCAATTTTTGCTCTTGTATTTTTACACCATGTTATTAGGTGACCAAGTTTTAAGACTGTCAGGAGAAATACACACATTACTAATCACAGCTAGTGATTTTAACCCACCACTTTCAGAAACTGAGAGTTCAAACAACAGAAATAAGCAGCGATATCAAAGACATAGTAATAAATCTGAGTGATTAGACAATATAAAACTCTATACCCAACAAAAAATATATACATTACTTAGAGGCACACTGCTGATTTACAGAAGTAGAATATGAATTTAGGAAAAGAGAAAAAAGCCTCAATAAACTCCAAACGATCAATATCATACAAAATAGGCTCTCTGATCATAATGCTAATGCAGAAGTTAATAACATAAAGACAGCATTTAAAAACCAAAATGTACATTTCATTATCCTCAGTAAACTAACGCAGGAACAGAAAACCAAACACTGCATGCTCTCACTTATAAGTGGGAGCTGAATAATGAGAACACATAGACACATGAGAGGGAACAACACACACTGGGGACTGTCGAGAGGGCGGGGAAAGGGAGAGCATCAGTAAGAACAGCGAATGGGTGCTGGGCCTAATACCTGGGTGATGGGTTAATCTGTGCAGCAAACCACCATGGCATACATTTGCCTATGTAAAAAACCTGCGCATGTACCCCAGAAATCAAAATAAAAGCTGATAAAAAATAAATAAATAAAAACCAAGAAGTCTGGAAATGAAATAGCATATTACTAACTTTTGGATGGAAGGAATTCATACGTATTTAGATATTAATAGAAACACTCTGTTAGTACCCAAAAAAGTTTAAAATATGTTTACCCTAAGACCCAGCAATACTACAGCTAGGCACTTAGACTCGAGAATCCCATGCACACATGCCTTGGGAGACACAGCCCAGAAGGCTCAGAGCTGCATTGCTTGTAATTGTCCCAAACTGGACACAATCCAAATTCCAAAGCTAGTTGAATGGGTATACAACATGTGGCATATCCATCAATGGGATACCACACAGGAAAGTACATGAACAAAGTTGGCTACAAGAAACAAATTGGATGAATCTTGCAAACATAACACTGAGTCGAAGAATCCAGACACAAGAATATATACTACATGAGGCGTGCATATAAAAAAAAAACCATACACATTAACTGGGGGGGCTGGTGTTGGGAAAGACCATGAAGGACTTGTGGGAGACTGGTCATGCTTTTTTTTTTTTTTGATGTGGATAGTGGTTACACGAATGCCCACCTCATAATTATTCTTTATGCCATATAGTTACATTCTATGCATTTTTCTGTAGGCGTGTTTTCTTTCACAAAGAAAGTCTTGAATATCGTACAGTACTGTGATAATTCCCACAGTTGAACACCTTTTTAGCACTGAGTTTGAGGGCTAACATGTTCTCCACGCATTAGAGCAGGCTCTGGGTGTGTATGTGTGTTTTGATGGCTATGGGAGTATTTAAATTTGTCTGAAAAAAAGATGGTCTAAGAGGATTTCTCTGGTTTGTGATTGACCCTATCTTTTAAATAACTACAGCTACAGTATAGGCAGGTCCACCTTCATTTGTGACAGAAGGCCCATTCCAGAACTTTTTCATTGGACAAATTAGTTATGGTCAATATCAGTGGTTCTCAAAAGTTAGTGTACAAAGAAATTACTTTATGGAAAAATTATTTTCAACAAGCACATGTAGAGATTCTAATACAGAGGATTCAGGAACATGGGGAATCAACATTGCAGCATCTGATATTTCATTCCATTATGGCTGCATGAATAAAAATGTCTGATCAATTCAGCCCCAAACTAGATTTGGTCATGTGGACAAAAATACCAAGACAGTGGAACATTCCATTGTTAGATGGGTTCAGCCAAACCTTATCAGTGACCCCAGCAGTAGTCTCTGTGTGCAGACTCTGCCTGGAGGACAAGAGGCTGGAGACCAACACAAGGTTTGATGACAGAAAACTGAGGAAATTCCCATTCGGATTGCAGTTCTCTGTTTTCTCCATGAAGTAGGAGAGTAAGGTAATCTGCTATGGGAAAAGGTTCTTAAGGACCATGTACAAGATAAACTATAATTGTGGAGAAAGGATGAGATAGCTAGCTAGGAAACAAAGTAGGAATGCTAAGCAGTGTGGAGGGTCTGGATAAGATTTGTGATTATGAATACACAGTGCCACAGAGACTGTAACAGTGTCTGGCAGCAATGAGAAAATAACTTAAGCCGCCTGAGGCCCAGGCAAGGGTGGGAGACAGGGCATTGGCAGTTGTCCTGGGTAGTTCAGTTGATGCCTACGGTCTGTGGCCTGGGAGCTGTTGGTAGTTGGGGCTGGAAGGCTGGATGTTGAATTCTACCCTAGTTTCAAAGCACTTCAGAGTCTCCTGTTCACTGATGCTGTGGTTTCTGATTCTCTGTCTTCGTGGCCTCTTCCCTCTCCAGAGCATCCACATCATCTGATTCCTACAGGATAGTCCTTTCCTAGTCAGCTGCCTGACCCTTATTGGACAGTATCTCATCTACCCACCTTCTTTGTAGATAGGATCTGTGACTTTTCCCTTCCCTACATTCATCCCAGAATGCCTAGTACAGGGTTGAATACACAAGAGAGGTTTGCAAATGATTTTTTGCAATGATAAGAACCCAAATGCCCTGTTTTATTACTTCCCAAATGACCAGACAAGACCAAGTACATGCTTTTTTGGAAGAAAATGCTAAATGAGTCACAGAGCAGGTCATGAACGAGCCTTCTAATTGGATGCCAATGATGTAATGGCACTCACTGCAGACACAGTTCTGGCTGTTATTCACACTGCTTGCACATATAATTTTTGTTTCACAATTGCAAGAATATTCTTCGGAAAATGCCACCTTTATCAGGTGATTTGTGTTTTCAGTCTTTGGCACTTTGCCATCTAACACTCCTTAAACATCCTAGTAGTGCTCAAAAATGTCTAGCCTTTTCTATTTCTTCTTCCTCCTTCTGAATTCCTAGCTATATTTGCAATGTGTGTGGGAACTGTTTTTCCCTAGAATCCACTGAAAAGATCAGACATGGCCTCTTCCTTCATGAAACTTGTATTCCAGATGATACACAAAAAAATCAAGTAAACAAAATGATCCCAGAAAGTGATGCATGCTCTGCAGAAAATCAAGACAGTAATGTCAAAGAGAGTGAAACTGGGCTACCGTGGGTTAAAAAAAGATGACTGGCATGAAGTAGAAAGCTGAGCCACACACTTATCAAGAGGAAGAGTATTCCAGGTACAGAGAAATAGCAAATGCAAGACCCTGAGATGGGGGTGTTATTGCTGTGTTTCAGGAACAGCTAGTAGACAAGTAGGGCTTCCATGAAGCGAGCCAGGGAAGAATGAAAGGAAATTAAGAGTTTGATTTGTATTGCAAGTGGCACAGAAAGCCATTGGAGGGTTTTGAGCAAAGAAGTTAGGATATATTTTGTTTTAACATTTCCTTTAGCTTTTGTGTAGAGAGCAAAGTGCAGAGTTCTGTTACGGAAAACAGAAACCATGTTAGCCCATTTAAGTAGAAAGGGGGAATTTGGTGCTTCCAAAATTGTTGAAAGAATCAAAAGAACAGACTCTAGGTTGAATTTCCAAACCTGTTTCCCAGAATAACACCACATATAATTGGCACCATTGGGAGAATCAGGAAGCCACTGCCTTAGTAATTGGCCCCAGGACCTCACCACCTCTGCTAAGTTCATCACAAGTCTTGGCTCTAAGACCATGCTACCTCATTCTCCATCTACATAAGCGAGGTGGACACCCCATGACCTGCCTTTTGATGTCCACAAAACTAGGAACATTACCTTGGGATCTCTGTGACTGCTGATGCAGAAGAATCAAAAGCTTCCAGCACCATGCTCCCTAACAGAAAACAGAAATCACAGAAGCAGAAGTAGGGACTCTGCTTCACTCCCCCTTCCAAATCACATACAAGTTCGTCTACTTGGCAGAGGTTACATCATCTGTGGAATCCAGGCTGTTATGGGGCATGGGAAATATAGTCTTTAGCTTTCCAACCTCTATCATTTAGTAAGGTCTACTACAATTGGGGTTGGAATAGAGTGAAATGAGCTAATCTATGATATTTGCCACAGGAGACAAGATCAGAGGTAGGGGAGCCAGTTAGAAGCTACTATAGTTGTCCATCCACCTGAGAAATAATGGTAACTGGACCAGAGTGAAAAGGTGAAGGTATAGAAAAGTGGTTGGATTTAACATTTTACTCTTAAGTAGGACTTGTTTATAAATTGAGGCAGGGTTGATGTTAAAAAGGTGTGAAAGAATAAAAATTAAAACTTCCAATCACCTCTACCCCAGCCACGCAATTTTCTTCCTGAGCCCTCAAGCCTGATTCAGAGGCCCCTCGAATGTATATCACAACATCACATTGTATTGGAATCCCTTGTTTCACTGTGTATATTTCTACTAAAATTTCACTTCCTCAGAAGCAGAACATGTGACTGGTTGTGCAGGGCACAGTGCCTGAACATGGTACAATGTCAATAAATATTTTTCCAAGAATGGTTGAAGGAGATGAGTGAAGTAGTGCCTAGAAACATACAAACTACCAAAACTGACTGAAGAGTAAATACCAAATCTGAATAAACTGTAGCAAGTAAAGAGATTGACTCAGTAATCAAAACATTCCAACAAAGAAAAGCCCAGGACCAACTGGCATGACTGGATAATTCTACAAATTATCTAAAATATTAATACCAATCTTTCTCAAACTCTTCCAAAAAATAGAAAAGTATGGAGAGCCTTCTAACTCATTCAGAAGGTCAGCATTACTCTGATATCAAAGCCAGACAAGAAAAGAAATATACAGGCCAACATCTGTTATGAATACAAATGCAAAAATCTTGAACAACATACTAGCAAACTGAATCCAGCAGCATTTTAAGAGGAGTATACATCATGACTATGTGGAATTTATCTCAAGAAGCCAAAAGTACTGCAATATATGAAAATCAATCAATGCAATAGAGTGCACTGATAGAATGAAGGTGGGAATAAACAGGTGATCATCTCAATTTATGCAAAAAATGAATTTTACAAAAGCCAACACCCTGTCATGATAAAAAAAAAACACTCAACATACCTGGAAATAGAAGGGAAGAAATTCCTCACAAAATAAGAGACATTTATGAAAATCCCACAACTAACATCATATAAATGGTGAAAGCTGAAAGGTTTCTCCCTAAGGTTAAGACAATGATGCTGTCTTTTGCCATTTATACTCAGCATCATACTGCAAGTTCTAGCCAGACAAATTAGATATGAAAAAAAGAAAAAGGCATCCAAGTAGGAAAGGAAAAAGTAAAACGCTCTATTCAGAGCTGGAATGATCCTATGTAGAGAATATCTCAAAGGATTCCCCAAAAAATATTTAATTGAATTGGGCAAATTTTCAGGATACAAGATAAACACAAAAAAATTAGTGATATTTCTGTATACATTCATGCGCCACATAACAACATTTCAGTCAACAACAGACCGCATATAAAACCACGGTCCCATAAGATTATAATGGGAGCTAAAAAATTCCTATGGCCTAGTGAAGCCATAGCCATCATAGCATTACTCACGTGTTTGTGGTGATGCTAGCGTAAACAAACCTACTGCACTGTAAATCATATAAAAGTCTAGCACATACAATTACATACAGTACATAATACTTGATAATGACAATAAACAACTGTGTTACTGGTTTATGTATTTACTAAACTATATTTTTATCAGTAATTTAGAGTGAAGTCCTTCTACCTATTAAAGAAGTTAACTATAAAACAGCCTCAGGTAGGTCCTTCAGTGGGTATTCTGGAAGAAGGCATTGTTATCATAGAAGATGGCAGCTCCATGTGTATTATTGCCCCTGGAGACCTTCCAGTGGGACAAAATGTGGAGGTAAAAGACAGTGATATTGATGATCCTGACTCTGTGTAGGCCTAGAGTAATGTGTGTTCTTGTGTCTTAGTTTTTAACAAAGAAGGTTAAAAAGCAAAAACAAAAAAAATTGAAAGAGAGAAAAGCTTTAAAATGTGGATATAAAGAAAGAAAACATTTTTGTACATTTATACAATGTATTTGTATTTTGAGCTAAGTGTTATTACAAAACAGTGAAAAAGTTTAAAAGTTTATAAAGTACAAAAAGTTACAGTAAGCTAAGGTTAATTTATTATTGAAGAAAGAATTTTTATAAATTTAGTGTAGCACAAATGTACAGTGTTTATAAAGTCTACAGTAGTGTGCAATAATGTCCTATGCACACTACTGTATAGGACACAATGCCAATTCTGCAAGGTCCATTCATGGTAAATGACCTATACAGATATACCATCTTTGCCTTTTATACTATATTTTTACTGTATTTTTTCTATGTTTAGACATGTTGATATACACAAATATCTATCATTGTGTTGCAATTGCCTACAGGATTCAGTACTGTAACAAGCCATGCAGGTTTGTCTATGTTGTGTGAGTATGCTTTGATATTTGTGCAATGACTAAGTCGCCTAATGATACGATTCTCAGAATGGATCCCCATAATTAAGTGACGCCTGAAGGTACTAGCAATGAACAATCCTAAAAGCAAGTTAAGAAAACAATTCCATTTACAATATCATCAAAAAGAATATAATACTTGGGAATAAACTTAACCAGTGTAGAGAAAGGCTTTTATACTGAAAACTATGCATTGATGAAAGAAATTAAAGAAGAAACTGATCTATGGAAAAACGTCCTGTGTTCCTGGATTGGAAGATTCAATATTGTTAAAATGTACATATTACCCAAAGTCATCTGCAGATTCAATGCTATTCCCATCAAAATCCCAATGGCTTTCCCCCCCACAAAAAAAAAATCCTAAAATTCATATGGAACTAAAAAAGATCCAGAATAGCCAAAGCAGTCTTGAGAAGGAAAACAAAGCCAGAGACATCACACTTCTTGATTTAAAAATAAATTACAAAGCTAGGTAATCAAAACACCATGATACGTGCACTTAAAAATTTGTTAAAAGGGTAGATGTCACAGTAAGTGTTCTTACAACAAAAAACAAACAGAACAGAACAAAAAAGAGGCATAAGGAAACTTTTGGAGATGATGGGTGTATCTATTGCTTTGATTGTGGTGACGGTTTCAAGGGTATGTGCATATGTATAAGCTCATCAAATTGTACTTATTAAATATGTATGGGTTTTGGAGATCACTTAGACTTCAATAAAGCTGTTCTTAAAAATACACAATGAGATACTACTTTACTCACTAAGATAGCTATAATTTTAAAAAATTGTAAATGTTAAGTGTTGGTAAAGATACGAAGAAATTGGACCTTTATATATTACCGATGAGAATTTTAAATGGTATAGTCTCTATGGGAAACACTCTGGTAGTTCTTCTACAAGTTAAGCACAGAATTACCATTTGACCTAGCAATTCTACTCCTAGGTATATACCCAAGATAATTGAAAACAGATGTTATCACACTGTGTGTACACAATGAAGACATATACTTGAGTTTTCATGGTAACACTTTTCACAATATCCACAAGGTGGAAACTACAGAAATGTCCATCTACCGATGAATACATAAAACAAGATGGGGCATATCTATACAATGGAATATCATTCAGCCTTAAAAAGAAATGCAGTACTGATACATGCTACAATGTGGATGAATATGGAAAACATTAAACTAAGTATATGAAGCTAGTCACGAAAGGCTACATATTGCATGATTCCATTTATATGAAATATCCAGAATAGACAAACTCATAGAGATTGAAAGTAGTTTAGTGGTTGACAGGGCTGGGGGGAAGGGGGTATGAGAAGTGACTGCTTAATGTGTAAAGGGTCTCCTTTGGGAGTGGTGAAAATGTTTTGAAGCTAAATGGAGGTGACTGTTGCACAACTCTGTGAAAACACTAAAATACATTGAATTGTACGCTTTAATACAGTGAGTTGTATGGTATGTCAATTATATCTTAATAAAGATGGTATTTTTAAGAGAAGAAAGAAAAAATGGATGGAGGGGTACTGTATCACCTGCTAAATAGTCCACCTATTTAGCAGCCTGGTGAATCTATACTAAGGGGCTCTTCTCACTCATTGCCAGTGTCGCTGGATGTGAAACCCTTTGGGTAGTCAGAAACTGAAATCCAACTCCAAGTGAGGGGCATGATATCTAACCTTACTCAAGCCAAGAAACACTTTGCTGGGCTGTATTTCTCCTTTTCTCTCTGGCAGGGTGGGGTGGTGTTTGGTCTCTTTAAGCACACTATACCTCACTATACCAAACTGGAAATGTAAAGAAATCCTGTATCTTGCCCTGTGCTCCATTGTGAACCAGCACCGTGTCCACATCGATATCCGAGATGAAGTTGCTGACAGCAGAGTATAAACGCTGAAGCTGCTGCTGTAAAAATTTCCCTGACAGTGTGACTAGAAAGTAAAGGGAGTCATCATTTAGTTCAACATGGACTGAGAGCCTTGAATGAAACTCTGTTTGAGATATTTAAATTGTACAGTACCAATAAAACACGAAGCCAAGTCAAATCATTAGAAATTCCAAGATAACATGACAAGGTGGTCCCACCTTGTTAGGGTTTTTGATGCGTCTATGTATAAGCCAATAACTGTGCTCCATGTCCCCCAAAGAAAATCTATGCCAAGTGGTCCGTTGCTTTGTAAATTGCCACATCTAAATTAAGAAGGTGAATTAATTGTTTAAAAATGAATTGTGGTTCGTTGAACTTAGTAGTTTGCATATTACTTGGGGTTCTCAACTCTTCTTATAGTCTAGTGTGTGTAGAAAAAGGCCTCTATTCATCTCCCAGGCTTTAGGAGCTTCAGGCTGGGGCAGACACATTTGGGACACATCCCAGGCACTGACTCCCTCTGGCCTGCATTCTGCAACCTTTCTATACATGTGCCTCTGCCCCAACCAGAATCACATAGCTTATCCCAGTAACTACGGGTAAGTCCGGCCTACTCCAATGACCCATATTTTTGTTCTCTTCATCCCATTTGTCTTACTGATTGGCCAGAAAACAGCCACCTAACTCCAGAAGATTTCCCATTACTTGAGCATTGACCATGTGCTCAGCAATTGTTTTAGGTATTTTCCATGTATTAATTCATTTTACACCATAAGGAATTCCTATTACTATACCCCTTTGAGGTGAAGAAACTGAGGCACAGAGAAGTTAGGTAATTTGCTTAAGATCACACAGAAAGTGAGTGTCAGAGCTGGGATTCAAATCCAGACAGTTGGGCTTCAGAGCTCAAGCTCTGACCTCCATCATGTCTTCTCCACTCCTGACTGGAAAATGGAAGGATAATAGTACCCAGATTACAGCACTATTGTGGTGATTAAATTATTATTATTGGTTTCTGGAGTAGGCTGGCCATTTTCTCAGCAGTGGGCTGGAATAGGGAGTACATTTTGCAAGTCAGGTGTCTGGAACAAGCATTTAGTTTAATGAATCTAAGTGAATCTAAAGTGAAGTACTGTATAAGGAGAGTCCTATAATAGTGCATTTCATTGGGAAGAAGCTGTCTCACTATATTTACATCTAATGGAACACAAGAAGGGTCATTTTGACTTTATTTCTAAAGCTGACTCCCAAGTAGCACCTTCAATTCAAAATAAAGCTTTTCTGGTCATCATAACTTCTGGAACGGTGTCATGCACTTGAATATGAGTGCACCCTGTTCTGAAAGCCCTTTGCCATACTTTAGTGGTGAAAGTGTTAGTAAACATCGCTTTGGTGGCTGTTTGTCCACTAGCGCATGTTGGCCCTTCACGCTCCACCTCAACCCATTAGGCACCATGTGGAAGAAATGTGTCCAGGGGAACGATTCACTACATAAGCAATGCTCTTATAAACATCAGGAACATGGGAGCTGACAGAAGGACTGCAGCGAGTTCCTGTCATCTTCTTTTACAGAAATTCATGCTGCCCAAATAAATGCTCTACTCACTTCTGGTTTCTATGCTAGCCCACTCTGTAAATTCAAGGGATTAGATGAATGCAATATGCCCATATCCTGAAGAGCAAACTAGAGAATGGCTCAATTCTTAAAAGCCCCATAATCCTCAAGAACAAACCAAAGGCTTAAGGTAGTCAAGCTCAGAAGCTAAGAAATGAATCAAATAAACAGTTTAAACACCTTTCCCTTGGGCTTGGCTTTTCTAAAGGAGAGAAAAGGTCATCAGGGGAGCAAATGTGGCTCCTTGTTGATTAATTAAGAGCACTTAGGCAACATTCAGCAGAATCAATCATTTGTAGCCTGAGTTTTTTTTCACTCAGACTTCTAAATTGTCAATTCGTCCCTAAAATTACTTATGTAATTTGTGCTTTTAGGATGTCAGGTGTTAAAATTACTTTTCAGTACAACCCACAGAAACCCTGACTGGGTTTATTCATTTATTTCTTTAATGAGGTAGGGATTCAGGGGAGAAATCATGGTGGACAAGAAGAGTTTGTTTTCAAAATGAGGAGAGATATGGAGAGAATGTAGCTACTGATGAGAGAAATGAAGCTCCCAGACTTTTAAGGGAAATAAGATGCACACACAGGACTCCAATAAAAGGCACCATGTGATCAGGACACAAATAGAGCCACCCAGTCAAAACCCTCACAGCTAGCTTTGGGGAAAAGGGTATCCGGTCTCGGGTTTAAAAGATAGATTTAATTTTGGCAGATGAAGGAGACAAACTGAATAACTGCCAAGTGGGGGTCACTCAGAGAAAGGCCAGTAGCCCCTCTGCACTGGAGCTGGGTGGGAATGACAGGAAGGAGGAGGAGGAAGGAGCTAAAAGTGTAAGTTAGAATCAGAGTGGATTACAGATAGGGTGAACACCAAATGGGCAAACTAATTAAAAGGCTATTACAAGAGTGCAAGACAGGGATGAAGGCCTGAACTGGGGGTAGGAGCAGGGTGTGAGGAGGACGCAGTGGGGAGAAGCATCACAGAGATAGTCTCAAAGGTCAAATTGAAAAATCGGTGGTGATGCCACACAGTGAAGCCAAGATAAGCAGCAAGCATTCTCACTGTACCACCTCCTGAAGCCTTCTCCCCAAACGGGAGTCAATTATGATTATACTGCAAAGGAGTAAATGAGAGATTAGTATGGGAGGCCCCAGCTGACTGAGTCAAAGAGTAAAATGAACATGCAGTCACTTCAGGGGCCTATTTGACTATGGAAGGGACATGTAGTGCTGAGGCAGTGTGCCAGGTGTGGCAGCAGCAGGCAGCACAGCTGGCAGTGTGCTCTCAAATCAGCAACAGCATTGCTGCCCACACAACATTGCCACACAGACAATGCTGCCACGCACACACAAGCCTTTGGAAAAAAACCCATTGGCACATGAGTGCTCCACTATGAGTAGAGTGGTTTCAGTAGCAACATTTGTATCTGCATTTCTATTCCTTGGGATTCTTAGAATTATAAAACTCAAGGCTAGACTGGACCTCAATTTTCGACTGGTCCAACCATTAGAATCCTTTCTATAATGTTCCCACAAAATGGTAATGCAGTCTGTCCTTGAATATCTCCAGGAATGGGGAACGCTAGCCCCATCTTTGGCTAGCCCTGCTATTGCTTCTCTTTTGTCCACTCTTCCCTAGCAATTACTGTGTCAGTAACTATTGAAGGCGCTTTGCCAACTTGATTGCACTTAATCCCCACAACGTCAAATTTTACAGATGAGGAAACTGAGGATCAAGGAGAGAAAGTGACTTGTCACACAGCTGATGAGTGGCAGAGCTGGGATTTGAGCTGCTAAATTTGTCTGACTCTGGTGCTTCCTCCATTAGAAGTAAATCTAAGCCAATCTGTCTCCTTATAAATCCTACCCACTACTATAGTTACAGCATTTCTTCCAGGGAAGAGGATGCCCTCTTTGAAGTGCACTTGGAGACACAAATCTTGATCCCTTTCATCGCCTAACCACTTGAGAAACACTGACAAGACTATCAAAATGAAAGGCAAAAATGGCCACATAGCAACACTTTCAGAAGGGTGTCCTATTCCTGACTCCTCAGTGTGGCTCTCAGGCTTCTGCTGTCCCAGGGGTCACCAATGAGCCTTCTAACCAATAAATATGATGGCCATTTCCAAGTCTTCATTTTTCATGAGCTCCAGCTTATGGAAAATTTATTTTCATTTCTGGGATGCTTCATTCAACAAATATCTTTTGAGTGCCTACCATAACCCAGACTCTGGACTGTGTTCTAGGCAGGCACAAGATGAACCAGAAATAGTCCCTGGACTAAAGGAGTGCCCAGTCAGTCTGTCGTGGAAGACAGCTGAAAGGCAGTAATGACAATACGGGAGTCAAATGTTGTTCCACAGGACTGTCGAAGGCTCCCTTGTAGCATGAAGGAAGAGGTCACTATCTTTGCTTGGCCAGTTGGGAGAAAAGCTTCATCACAGCTGAGCTGGGCCTTAAAGGATGAGTAGAAATGTGCTGGGCAGGGAAAGTGGTGATCATATATACAAATTCCTGTGTAACATCGTCACTTAGACGCCTAACATCAAAGCAAACTGAAAATGTTCAAAATAAAATTATTGGCTATTCATGCACTTTAACTTCTTCCTCCCAGAGTCTTGCCCAACTCAATAAATGGCAAATCAGTTACCCCACCTAGTCAGGCCAAAACTCCGGAAATCCTTTGTAACTTGTCTCTTAATTTCATATTCTCTGTCTGATCTGTCAGAAAATCCTTTCAACTCTGCCTTGAAAAGATATCCAGAATCTGACCACATCTCACATCTTCCTCTGCTACCACCCTGGTCTGCTGAGCCCATCATCTGTCACCTGGGTTATTGCAGCAGCTTCCCGACTGCTCTCTGTGCTTCTGCCCTACCCCCACCCCAGGAACCTATTCTCCAATAGGCAAAAAGCATGATCCCACTGTCATGATATAAATATGCTCATGTCTTTCCTATGTCCAAATCCGCCATCAGCTTCCTATCTCACTCTGTGTAAAAGTCAAAGTTCTTATCATGGTTTACAAGTCACTACACGATCTAGCCCCCGTTTATACTTTGGCCTCACCTCCTATTTCTCTTCTTCTTCACTCACTGTGTTCCAGCCTCACTGGCCTCCTTATTATTCTTTGCATACACCAAAAACTTCAGGCATTTCCCCTTGTTGTCCACTCTCCTGGAATCATTTTCCCGTAAATGTCTATACGGCTTTACACCCTCTCTTTAAGGTCTCTGCTCAAATGTCTGCCTTCACAATGAGTCCTTCCTTGACCACCTTATTTAAAATAATGTCTTTGCCCTCCAATCATTACCACCTCATTTGCCCAGCATTCTCTACTCTCCTTCCCTGATTTGCTTTTCTTTGTTGCACTTATCATCATCTAATAAACCAGATACTTTATTCATTTCAATTCTGTGTAATCTGCCTCCTGTTCCTATATAATATAAGCTCCACTATATCAAGGATTTCTTTCACTGTTTTTTTTTCTACTTTTATATCCCTGTTCTCAGAGTAGTACCTGGCACCTAAAAGGTACTCAGTGAACAGCTAATCAATGAATGAGTGATGACTTTCTGAATATGGGGGTGGGGAGATAGAAGGAAATGCTATAGATGTCTTATAGGTCCCAACCAGGTCCCAACTGAATATCAGTCCACCGAGACTGAGAACACACCAAAAGGAGCATATTTGCAGAGTACTAGGAGAAGACTGAGATATTTTGGATTCAAGCTACCTGTAAAACATGCAGAAAGAGTTGTACATGGGACTTTAGACTAATGGTACAGGCACTGAGATGAGTGCCAGAGTCTATTTATCAAGTTAGGCTAAGCTTTGCTGAAATGATAACTAAGTCCCTAAATCTTAGCAACTTAGCATATCAAAGCTTGATTTCCAGGTCACACATGGTCAGATGCAGGTCACATCCTCTATCGGAAGACTCAGGGTCTAGGTTCTCTCCATATTTGATATTCCCACTTCAACATATGGCTTTCAGGGTCGACAGGGCAAAGAAAGAGAGCTTAAGGATAGTAAACTGACTCTCAAATGCTTCATCCTGGAAATAGTCTGTGCCACTTATGTTTGCATTTCATTGTCTAAAACCAGTTACATGGCCCCAACTAACTGAAAGGGGCCTGCAGATGGAAGTGAGTGCTACTGAATCTGTCTCAGAGATCGTGCAGAAAAGCATGGTTTTGAGCAATTTGGAGAAGTACAAGGGACTAGAGTTGCTGAAAGATTCAATGCCTTATTATGAATTATCGCTGTTACCACAAATGTAGAGTATACTGATGTCAAAAGACTATCTAAAAGAAAATCCTCTGGTCAGGTAGAACTTAACCTGAGGGAGGAGCAGAGAGCACACGGCTAAAGATACAAGAGTACATTAATTAGGGGCTAAGGGGGGTTGTGTAACCCAAAATGATTTGAGGACAGGTGCAAGACTAGCAGGGTGTATTAGTCGGCTCTCACACTGTTAATACATACCCGAGACTGGGTAATTTATAGAGGAAAGAGGTTTGTTTAATTGACTCACAGTTCAGCATGGCTGGGGAGGCCTCGAGAAACTTACAGTGATAGCTGAAGGGGAAGCAAGCACATCCTTCTTCACATGGTGACAGCAAGGAGAAGTGCCAAACAAAAGAGGGAAAAGCCCCTTATAAAGCCATCTGATCTCATGAGAACTCATTCACTATCACGAGAACAGCATGAGGGTAACCGCCCCCATGATTCAATTACCTCCTACCAGGTTCCTCCCACGACACGTGGGGATTATGGGAACTACAATTCAAGATGAGATTTGGGTGGGGACACAGCCAAACTATATCACAGGGGTAAGGGAGTCACGTAAGAAAGCAGCCTTTCTCACCAGGTGTACCACATGTGGCCACTCTGGCTGTGCCCTCCACAGCTCCAGGAGATATCCGTTCATGATTTGTACAGGATCAATGTTTCTCACCCCTTGGGAACAGGGGCAGGGATGCACAGAAGTTAGCCATCACCATCCTCACTGAGGGGCAGAGTAGCTGATGGCAGCAACTACCGCAGTGTAGAAATAAAGGTCTATCCATTTGCGCACTAAAACTTCCTCCTTCAAAAAGGTCTCTGCTCCCTGTGCTTATCCCCCTCTGTTTCAGTGAGCTTCTGCATAAGGTGTTTTGCTGCTGTTGTTGGATTCGGAGAAACAATTATTTAATAGATAAATGGAAAGGTTTGTTCCACAATTAGACCAGGAGAGCTGAGGCCCTCTAGTGGCTCTATCTGGTAGTGACCGCAGCCTTTCCAGATGGAGAAAGGAGAAATCTGACTGGATAAGGGAGGTGAGGTCCCAAAGCTAGAAGTTGTGATGGAAAGGGAGTCCTTTTTGTCTGGATTCTCCCATTAACAAGTAGGCATTATTACCACCCCCATATTCCAGATGATAGAGCTGAGCTTCAGAGGCTGAGACACATGCCTAGGTATAATAGCTGGTGACAGAGCTCCAATCTAGATCTTCAAGTTCATAATCAAATGCCCCTTTAATACACTACGATACAACCTGTCCTTGGGAGAAAAACTCTAGAGTTAGTGGAGTATTCTCACCGCTCCTGCTCTTTCATAGTTAGGGAGGGAGATGCTTTTAGAAGATGCTATACCTAATACAGTGCCCGTTTCTGCAGGCTTGGGGGAGAGAGGGAGCTGTGACCTACATAAAATGTGAATTCCGAGAAAAAGTGAAGAGAAAATATGGAACCTCAGAATCAAAAATTCAGCACCCCCTCCCTTTGTGACAGTTAGTCAAAATTGTGGGTCACATACTGCATGCTATAAGTGAAGGTAGGTCTGTGTCTTCACTGTCAGACAGCATTCTGATTGATTTGAGGTTAGGCAATAGAGAAGGCTTTCCTGCCCTCCCACTCTCCTCTCTTGGAAAAAGGGATTTCTGTGGTAATGGTGGTGGTGGTGGTGGTGGTGGTGGTGGAAGAGTCCTTAAGGGTACATAAAAATGCTTGTCCCTCAAGTAGAATAAATGCATGAAGGATTTTGAGCCAAACACAGGAGCTCTGATACCACTTCCCACATGGAGCAGAATTTCCTCTATTCTACCCATGACAGGAGGCCATTCATTCAGTCTTTGTATAAACAGCTCTAGTAACAAATAAGGAGCCCACACTCTCAAAAGACAGCCTATTTTATTTGTAGCTCAGTGTATTATAATATAAACCCCTGCAGGAATGTTACTGTGCTCCAGCATGAGATAGCCCAAGGAGCAATTGCATATAGTGAAGCCCAAGTGTAGGAAGACACCCTGAGAACCACAGAACTGTTCATTTTGTATGTTTTTCCTTAGAAATAGTGAATGATGAGGGCAGGGTAAGCAGAAGGGAACTCTTCTACAAAGATTCACTTTTATTCTGGTTTCTCTTAGGAAGCCATATATAAGCACATTTCTCCAGCCTTAGACCTCAGCAGCAACTAGCATTTCACACCCATGGAAAATATTTGCCTCTTTGATGGCCCATGAGATGACGGACACACACCGATAGAACAATGGCCTTCCAAGCATGACAACTAGGGAGGGCTCATAGGTGTCAGGTTGTTCTAACAAGTGCCTTTTTCAGCATGGAAAAAAATGAGTAAAAGCATTCTAAAGTCCAGGGTCTAACTTCCATCCCCTAGTCTCAGTCTCTCCTGTTCTTGCTCTAGGTCAGGAACTCATTATTTTTAATTGGACCAGTAATATAGCCTTCTTTGCTTCTGGCTTTCTTTACTTTCACTACAACGTGTCTAGGAGTAGATTTCTTTTAATTTATCTTGCCTATGACTTATTGGGCTTTTTGAATCTGTGAATTCAAATTTACAGCCGTCATCTTCAACTGGGACTTCAATTAAATATATGGCAGACCTTCTCACTCTACTAATTGAGTCTCTCATCCTCCCTTTTTTATTTTTCCAAATAATTTGTTTCTCCAGACAGAACTCTGGGCAATTTCTTATAACCTATCTTCCAATTCAATAATTCTCTTTTTAGTTGTGTTTAGCCTTCTCTTAAACCCATCCATTAAATTCTCAAGTTTCATTGTTATAGTCTTTAGTATAACTACACTAGTTATAGTTTAGTTTTTCACCTTGATTTTTTTCAAAATAGCTCTATTAGTCTTTATGATTTTCTGTTCCTTACAGATATTTTCAAACTTATTTTTAATTTTTTGGAATAAAGTGAACCATAGTTATTGTAGTCTTTGTCACGTAACTCTGATACGTGAAGTCTTTGAGAGTTTGTTTTTGTTGTCTACTGGCTGTCATGGTCTATGTGTTTCCTTTTATGCCAAGTTATCTTTGACTATACGCTGACATATTTTTGAAAAATTATTGTACAAATGATTCTAGGCCCAATATGATAATACCTTCCAGCAGAGTCTTTTCATTTGCTGGGGTATTTTCAAATGCCTGAGGATACTACTTGTCCAAGGCCACTTTAATCCAAGATCAGGGCTTTAGGTTCCTTGGACTGCCCATATGATGAGTATCTAGGTTTACAAGACCACACAAGGGCTGGTTACTTATAGGTCACCATTAACCCAAAGGGGTAGCCACTCAGGGTCTCAGCTGAGAGTGACAAGAATGCTAATCAAATCCGCTACTTCCTTGGGCCTTGAGCTTTCACTTTTTTCCTTATGATGCCACCAAAACTGCAGCTCAATTTCATAACTCTCTTCCAGATTCAGTAGAAGCCATCAGGACAAAAGAGGATTCTAGTGCTGGGCTTTCCCCCCTGGGTTCTTGTCTTCTTCCGGATTTTAGCCTCAGTATCTCTCAGTTCTTTATGACAATTATTTCTTTCTACATTCAGCCAGTTTGTTTCATTGTCCTCACTGGAACAGCTAGTCCAAGTTACCTAGCTGGCCATTACCAGAAGGAGATGTGTGCTCTTCTTGCCCCCAGTCCCTCTCCCTCCCAGTTTTTCCTTCAGTGCGAAGGTGCCACTCTGATTGTATCATTCCCTTGCACAAATCCTTCAGAAGATTACTGTTGACTCTAAAATAAAATACAATTTTTTATTTTAGAAAATTAGGACCCAGATTCTTTCTCTTGCCTCATTCATTACACAAGAATTTATTGTACACTGAGTGTGTGTTGCTTACAAAGTCAGGTTCTGCCTAATCTCTCACCTCTTACCTATCTCACCTGTTGTCTTACCTCCAAACTTACTCTACCCTTTAGCCAAACTGGAATATTCACTGTCGTGTGCAGAGCTGGGTCAGAACACAGATGGGCTAACTTCCAGATGAGTGTTCTTTGTCCTACACCATTATCCCATATTCAGGTTTAAGCTTATTCAATCTAGATCTTTATGGATATTATAATAAATTAACTAGGCAAACGCTCAATAAGTACAAATTATAATGGCATTTTTGTATTTCTTGTATTTTGGCTATCCTTTTCTTGTGAGTCAGAAATTTCAATGAAGCATTACCTCTAGGGAGACCCGAAGTAGGGGAGGGCCTTCTGGGATGTAAGTTCTGGAAGAGAATTCATCGTTGCCGTCAACTTTTTGTCAATCTTCATAGTCACAAGGGTACCTAAGAACAAAATTTCAGGCTTCAGGCTTGTTTCCCCTAACAAATGAGCGACCAGACCAATTGCCTGTGGAATTTGATTCCTCAGTGCTGGGAACATCCCACATTCAAACAAATCTGCTCCCACCTGCTGGTGGTTGCTAGAACTTCCAGTCAAAGCTGACTTAGACTGAAAACGCACTCTTCTCGAAGTAAGCAGACCTGGAAATGTGGTTTTTAGTTTTGGCCTCTGCTACTGTGTGACCTTGGGCCAATCCCTTTTTCTTCTCTGGGCTTCAGTTTCCCTACATTACAACCGAGGTGGCTGGACAAAATGCCCCGGAATGGCTCTAACATTTTTGGCAAACAAGGATTTTCTCTACAAGGACGTCTGTGTGACCAGAGGTGATGGGACAGGACTGGTAGCAGTAGAGGTGGGTTTAATCTGCTCTCATATGTGATCCTGACAAATGGGTCCCATCATCCTTTTTTCTTACTGCAATGGCCAGGGAAAGAGGGGAGATGGGAAAGAAAGGTGTGAGGGTGTTCTGCTCATTAAAAGAAGGCAGGAAACTATGAGAGACATTTTTCATAAAAGTATGGTTCTAAAATGATTTTAAAGGGGGAGTGGTAAAAGAGTTAAACCCTCAGCTGTGCAAAACTGCTTGGCCTACCAGGTAAGTCATGCTTTGCTGGGCACCAGCAATCTCAACTCATTTCATCAAATACTGAGGGGAAAAAAAGGGGGAGATGTTGTGTTTCTCAGTGAATGTTCTAGGTAACCAAAAGTAAACCTGAAATCCGTTTTGATTTCAACTCTTCTCAATGGTGTGATGTGGGAGGTGGCATGCCGGTGAACATGGCAGCTCTGTTTGTTGATTACCCATTTGCCCTATGGGCTCTGGTGAGGCCACTTTCTAAGCTTTCTGAACTTGCTTTGTCATGGGATAGGAAGGACATAGGAAATTGGGTGGAGGCATTTCTTATCCTCCACGATTTTTCTGTCCCATAGGGGCAGAGTCTGAGGTAGTGGAAAGAATAAGAGCCCTCTAGTCAAGATGTCAGGCTTTTCCATATGATGGGGTCAGAACCCAGGAACATTGGCATACCCTGGTCTCCAGTGCCTAACTCCCTTGAACACCCCAAACACTGACCTTGGCCTTTTTTTCCCCTTCTATGGTGTCAGCCATGAACCTTCATTCTGCATCCCCTGGCTGATGAGACACAACCACATCTCAGAGAGACCCCAGTTGGTGAGCCCTTCCAGTTCCTTGAGTCTTTTTCCTGAGTACCCAAAGTTGGGGTGAAGAGCACTCTAGGAAATTTAAGTCTTAAGCAACTCTTGGGCTCCTGTAGCCCAATGTCCATCCTGAGGGAGGAGCAGTCCTGCTGTGGCCAGAGCCCTGTAACAAAACCCATTAGGATCCTCCTTGACCTTATCCAGAGACAAGGCACGCGGGGTTACTGGAGGCTCAAGGGTACGGAGTCACCAGCCGTTGGGTACCTCCTGACGCCCAAAATTGTCCAAGTCTTTCAGAATGCAGATTCAGCCATGGCGGTCAAATTACCACACTCCCTTCACCATCAAATACAACTCTCGGGCACAGGCCCTTTCTTCCAAGAAAAACACACATTTCGCATTTTGCAGAGAAGAGACAGGACCCAGTGCCCCTTGAGGCGGATTCCTGGCCCAGCCCCCAAGGAGCCAGCCCTCCTCCCCCTCCCCCAGCCCGGCCCCGCCCTGCCTGTGTCTGGAGATGGCCGGGGGATGACTGCAGAAGCCTGAAGGGGCGGGGGCCGGGCGGCGCGCAGGCTACGGGCGGAGGCAGGAGCGCGCGCCTTTTTGTGCGGCTCCTGGCAGCTGTCCGATTGGCTGGGCCTGCGATGCCGTCGGAGTGGGCGGAGCCAGCAGCGAGCTGGGATCTGTGCCCAGTCGCAGCCAGGAGCGGCCGCAGACGGAGCGCACCTCGCAGCTGCCGGGCGGGCCCTGGGGGGAGCTGCGTCCAGCAGAGCTGCTGGGTGGTTGCTCCTCCCGGGCTCTCATCTCCGGTATCCGGGCCGACCCCCGCACCCCCTACTTCCCTTGCCCTCGCTGCTCTCTCCTTAGAGGCGACTCTTTGGGGAAGGGCCAGCAATCCCGCCTTCCCCGGCCCCAGTAGTCACCCACTCTCCCACCCCACCTCTGTTCCTTTTCGCGGCCCCGTCTCCCGCGCCCTCAGGCGCCCAGAACGCCCCGGCCATGGGCATCCGAGGCATGCTGCGAGCCGCAGTGATCCTGCTGCTCATCAGGACCTGGCTCGCGGAGGGCAACTACCCCAGTCCCATCCCGAAATTCCACTTCGAGTTCTCCTCTGCTGTGCCCGAAGTCGTCCTGAACCTCTTCAACTGGTAAGCGGGCACCGCCAGGCTAGGCACGGCGGGGACGGGAATGGAGACGGGCAGACGACCTCTGGCCTCTTGGACGGAGCGGGCTGGGGGCGACTCGGGCTGGGGGGTACTCGGACCCGGGCTCGCTGAGCCCTGGCGCCCGGGCCCTGCCTGTTGGCCCCTAGAAGGGGTAAGGTGGGAGTGGGGTGTTGAAATGGAGCCCTGTGCTTCCGCCCACCTGTTACTGCGGAGCTTGACTGAGCCCTGCGTGTGCCTAAACCGCAGCCCGAGGGGTGGGGGCGGGGGTCGCCCTCGTCCCAGGATCTGTCCATCCATCCCCAAGGATTTAAGGTTCCCGGCAGCTTTCCCCAGCTTTGGCACCTGTGGGATTGGGGAGGAGGGTACAGGATGACGGGCAATTCACAAAACATAGACAGGAGAGACACCTGTTTGAGTCTACATTTTAGTCCATTTCCTGAGGCGCGCGCGCGTGCATGCATGTGTTGAGGGGATGAGGGACTCTTTCCAATGCGGCAGATAGAAATGATTAACTCAAACCCATCGGAGCCCAGACAGTGCGATCGTGTCTGAATAAACACGAACCGTGTGGTCTGGGATGGGTGTGCTTTTGTACTTAGTCGTGTGAAAATATTTGAAGACTCCGGTTTTTTTCTCTTTTTGATTTTAAGTTTGTTTGGGTGTGCGAGTATCTGAAGCCTTTACATGTAAATCACACAGAAATGTGTATTTGGGGTGGCCACAGATCCTGAGCGTTGGCACATGGGTAATGTGTGCTTGGAAACAGGTGGGAATGCATTGCTTTAATTTGGGAATAATTCATGTGCACATTTTGGGATGCTGCAAAATGAAATTTTTGATTAAAGATGATTAGGAATAATTTTTAACAATGTTTAAATGGCAAGCCAGAAATTAACATGTACTCATAAAGGGGGGGGGGGTGTTTGGCAAGGTTCCAGCAGACAGCCCTGCAGTGCCCTTAACCCAACATACCATACTGCGCCACTGAACATGCACACATGCGCGTGCGCGCACACACACACACACACACACACACACACAAACACACACATTTGCAGGGGCTGACGTTCCCTGGGCAATGCGTCAAAGATTTGAAGAGTCACAGTGATGCCGGGGCCTGTTCTGATTCGCAAGCCCTGTTGGGGAAGGAGCCCTGTTGAAGGTCTAGGTGAATTGGGTGAGCGTGTCAGAGATCTCTGGAAAAGCCAGCTCTCCACAGAGCTGGGCTGAGTCCACTTACCTATGCTCACCCAAGACACCTCCAGGGTGGAAGCACATGCTCAGCAAGAGATATACCTGCTCCCAGAATAGATGTCTTTCCGATGAGAGCTCTGAGCCCCAAGAATCTGAAATGGTTTGGTTGGATGAGGGTCGTAAATCTCAGCTACACCAGCAAGGCTCTCTCTGTGTGTCTTATGCCATATGCCAAGTCTGGAAAACAGAGTTGTGCAGAAACAAGGTTGACATAAAAGTGACTAAAAAATGCCCAGCCCTAGCCCAGGTAAGGGGAAATGAAACTTTGAGCTCATCTTACTAGGGCACTGAGAGCAAAAGATGACTTTTCCTGGGGCAATCAGGTGCCCCTGGCAGGAGGACCCCCACCAACCTAGAAAACAGCGTCGAGGCTGATTGCAAGATGGGGCTCTTGAAGGGGCTGAAGTAATGCATTTTTCTGAGGGCTTTCATCTGCCCACTCTTCTTCGTCTCCCCTTCTCCTACCGCCTCCTCTCGTCAACCCCTACAAGTCCTGCCTGGTAACAGGGATCCAGTCTCTGAGCCCCACCCTCTGGATTAAAGCTGGGAAGGTGGGGGGGGGGAGGAAAGAGGAGTCTGCGTCACCGCTGCGCTTCTGGCTGACTCACCATGGGGAGGGAGGGGAGCAGGGAGAGAGAGTGTGTACACGTATGACTGGACATGTCTGCGTATGTGCTGGAGAAGAGAAGGCCCTAGCAAGGCAACCACTGGCAAGCGGGCCCCAAGTCAACCGGCATTTACTTATGACTTCTCTGTTTCAGCAAAAATTGTGCAAATGAAGCTGTGGTTCAAAAGATTTTGGACAGGGTGCTGTCAAGATACGATGTCCGCCTGAGACCGAATTTTGGAGGTAAGGCATATCCAGACACTAGAGAACTTGGGTTAGGTGTCCTAGAGCTGAGACACAGCAAGCCAGCCCTGCCCTGTAAGCTGACCAGTGGTATCCTGCGGGCTCTACACCTGTGCCTCTCCAGATCCCACCTTCCTGACTCTGCAGAGACCAGCAAGGAAGCACCCCCAGGCCTTCTGCACCCTGTAATATCTCTCACTTCTCTGCCTTCAGATGCACGAGAGCCTTCTCCCTCCTCCACACTCCCCTTACAAAGGTGTGGCTGGCAAAGAGCTAAGCACAGAAATGGGTGTACAGGATGCGGCGCGCTGTGTTCCTCAGGCTAGAGTTTTCTGCTCCAGCTCCTGGGAGGACACATATTCTTCTACTTGAGCACATTCTTCACACCCTGGGCACTTGTCCCATTCAGCTAGTTCCAAACTGAGAGCACGGTCTTTTCTGTCTAGTGTACTTAACCCACCGAGGCCCTGGGCACTTCCACCTCAGCTCCCTCATTCTCAGTTTATATAAGACACCGCAGTCAGTGTGGTCTTTCTAAACCCAGCCGGATCACCTCAGGAACTTTTAATGGTTTTATCTAACTGCCAAATAAAATCCAAACTCCTCAGCCTAGTCCTCAGATCTCTGCTGCTGAGATTAGAAACGACAAAGAAGCTGACACACAAACCCCCAGGAAAATCATACATCAGTTCCTCCCCCATTTTTGTAATTAGCCTCCCATTTAAAAAGGGCGACTAGCCTGGACCACACAGCTTTAAGTGACAGGCAACCTACCCTGACCCGGCGTAGCAAACGCAGCATTCTCTAGCCCAGGGGACACCTAGGAAACCTAGATCAAGGGCAAACAAAAGAAACAGTCCATTAAAAAAGAGGTTAGTTACATTCCAGCTCAAAGGAAGCTCCCACTCCAAAGGGTTAATGAAAGCTAATGATCTGCATTTATGCATATGAATAGAGGTCTTCCAAATACACTCTGGCTCCACCCCAAGAAAACACAGCTGAGAGGATTCGGCCCTTGCGGTAGACCAGTTTGGCCTGGGGAGCGCCACCTTGAAAAGCAAGGTGGTAGTCCTGGGCCCTAAGCTTTGGAGGTGGGACCCTGAACTGGTGCTTCCCCTTAGCTCCCTTGCTCCCTCCGAAGTGTGAGAGCAGAAGGCACAGCCCAAGGGATTAAAGCTGAGAGCATACTGGGAAGCCAGGGTAGACAGGCCAGAAGGCAGGCTCTTTCATTGCAAAACAGCAGCGTGTCTTCTGGGTGGATCCCCAAGGGATAAAGGTCTGGCCATATGGGAATCCAGGTGTTAGAGTACAGGCAGCACGTCCTTGTATGGCAGCGACTTTGGAATCTTTTGGATCAGTTGCACCAAGCACCAATGGGTGACGTGGGAGTAGCTACTTCGTTTTTTTGTCTTGCCTTTCTCACGTTTCTCAGCAGAGACTGACCAACAACCATTTGAGTACACCAATCACCTTCTCCCCACTGTTTCAGGGCCAGGTTGACATCTCTGCAGGCATCCAGGACCGGGGGAGGGAGCAGGGGCAAGAATCAATCTCTGGGGAGGGTTACCCTAAGCTTTGTGGACGTGCACACCTGCAGCGTGTGAGAAAAGCTGGATCCCTGGCTTGATTTAGCCAAACCGATGAAGGTAGGAGGGCAAGGACAACTCAGGACCTTCTAGCATTTAAACAGAAGGGGGCACCACAGGCTCTAGGTCTGAGGCTGTTGCATGGTGCGTGTGGGAAGAGAGACCAGTTGATGGGATAGCTGGGCCAAGGCAGTCAGCGCCTGGGGACTCCAGGACTCCCCCACTAGACACAGCGTCAAATTCCCCTCTGTGTGAGAGGTGGAGTAGAGTTTCAGGGCATACTTCCCCTCACTTCCCCACACATCCTCCACATGCAGAGGCCTCACTTAACTGTGGCCCAGTTCAAACAGGAGCCTTATTCCTTCCTTGCATACGGGGGACAGTGAGAAGAGGAGGAGGATGAAAAGGAGGAGGAGGATCCAGAGAAAATTAACAAAGCCAATTCCTTCTAGGCAAGAGAACTGGGACTCTGCATTGTGGCAAAAGGCCGCCCTTGAGGGCCTCACCTAGCTTAGCACCTGGCATGATTTAGGCACCCGATATTGTGAAGGAATGAAGGAGATATTTTCATTCCTTCATTCATCTGCTAGATAGGAAGTACAGTTGAGGCAGGAAAGGTTCCAGGAGAAAGGGAGGTGATTACCCCTACCACTTTGCCTGCCTTCCTGAGGGGGCAGGGTGGGACAGTGATGGGCTGGGGCCACCATCCTAGACATGGTATTTGGACTCCTTATCAGGACGTTTCTCATCCCCTCCCCACCCCCATTATCTGTTTAGGGATATGGGATTCCTCATCTAAATTCTCATCCTGACAACTACTAGCACAAAGGGGATAAATTAGAAGAATGTCCCCTTCCTCTGAGCTGCATCCCTGTGCCAGGACTCATGGCTTGGTGAGGGGAATGTGAACTGCATTTCAGCTCCCACTTTCCCTTCAACTAGGAGTCCTTGGACAGGTTTCTGGCCTAGCCCTTCGGGGTCGCCAGCATTCCACCATAAGGAAAGGAGTTGCCTGAATCATGCGGAATGGTCTAGAGAAGTCTAACACTGAGGTGTAGCTGGCTGGCCCCTCTGGAGCTTGTTGCCTGCCTAACACAGCTTCCCTTCTCTAAAGGCATGTGGGGAGCCCGAAAGGCGGCCATCAAGAACTGTGTTTCTTGGAACTCCTGTCACCACGTAACACTTTTCTGGGGCTTCTTCACAACAGGCCTGGATGCTGGAGTCTGGGCTGTACCCCAACACAGAGGCTCATTTACTTCACGGCTGCCATTCAGATGCTTATTCCCAATAGAGCTTTCCTTTGTGAAGCTTTGGGCTTGGAATAACACATTTCTCTCTTTGCAGCTCAGCTTCTGGGCAATCAGCCTGCAGTAAAACCAGCAGGCTGAATTGCAGGCGTCATGCATGTTTCCCTAGCAGCAGTGTGATGTAATACATGGAGACTAAGGGCTTTGCTGTGGGACTGGCTGTAGAAAGCTTTGAGATGAGGAGCGAACGATAAAAACGGATTTGCCCACAGTGCCTTACAGTGTAGTGTACTACATATTTTCACATCCATGAACACATTTGAGTACTGCAAGTGGACAGTGCTAACACCTGGGTGTGAACAAAAGCTAGGAGGCAGAAGTGCACTAACACAAACATTCACACACTGTCACACTCACACATTAACACACACAATTACCCTCTCCTGTGCACTCACCCCCTCACATGAACATGCTCACAATTTCATTCTCACACATAGACACACCCACTGAGCATGATCACACATTCACTTAGTCTCACACATTAGCATGCTCACATACACCAAACACACTCACAAGTCCACATCCACACATGCACATATGCACGCGTTCACTCAAACTCAAACATGCTCACACACACATGCAAATTTATTCACTTTAACACACATGCACATTCACTCACACAAACATGCTCACACATCCAAACACCTTCACGAATTTATTCACACACTTTAACATGCTCACACGTGCAAACATGCTCACACATTTACTACACACGTTATATACGAGACCACGCTCAAATTCACTCACACATTAACACACATACCCACAAACACGCTCCCACATCTACATACACATATGAATATACTCACATTCACCCACACACAAATAGGCCCACATACACAAACACACTCACAAATTCACTCAAAAACGACACATATTAACATCCTCACACACAAACACATGCTCACACATACACACATAAACATAACCACACTTTCACTTATGCATGGGCGTGCTCACATACATGAAAGCACTCGCATATTCACTCACACACATGAACGTGTTCACAATATACTCACAGATTCACTCACCTGCTGAAAATATGCACATCTACATTGATAGGTACATGGACATTAACATGCTTACACACATACTCTTGCATTCACCCACACATGAGCATTCTCACATACACGAACATGCTAATACAGTCTTCCATATACATGTGTAGTATGCCAGTGCAGGTGGACACATCACACAATACACAAACACGCTCATGTACACTTACATCAACACAGCTAGTTCACAGACATGAACATGCGCAGGTGTTCACTCACACATGGACATACTCACAAATCCACTAACACATGAACAGGCTCACATACTGTAATACACGCACACACTCACACATTCACACCTCCTCACGAACACACTCATACTTATGGACATGCTCATATGTTCAGTCCCACAAAACCACACTCACATATTCCCACACAGGCATCCTCACATAAACTCATATGTATATATGTTCACACATTCACTCTCACACACAGACAAGCTCACAAACATGCACGGTCATACCCTCACTTGAACACAAACACAATCATACACTCCCACACAACACACCTACACACATTCACATGCTCACAGATTTACTTCTGTACAACACACTCAAGCACACAAACATGCTCACACATTCACTTATACACAAACATGATGACACACACTGGCACATTCACCTGAACATGAACACACAAATTCACTCACATGCATGAACATGCTCACATACACTCATATACACAGCTCACACAATCACTTACACACAGACACACATGTGCTCCCACAAACACACACATTCACTCACACACACAAACATGTGCACACACAGCCATGAATCTTGGCTCCTGCTTTGGGGCTCGTTGCTTTTCAGGTTTTATCAGGAAAATGTTTAGAAGGAGTGCTTCATCCCTTAACGTTCTCTTTATTTTGCCCTGACCCCTTCCTTTGCACACATCGTGGGCGAGGCCTTGCTCTAACTATGAGATCAGTGCTATCACTATCCCCATTTTACCCATGAGGAGATTAAGACTCAGCAGGGTTAGGTGACTTACTCAGGATCACACAACTAACAAGTTTCAAAGAGGGTTCAAACCCAGGCAGCCTGGCTCCCAAGTTTATGCTCTTAACCTTTATTCTACCTTTCGTGTAACTGTGTCTTTCTGTCTTCTAGGTGCCCCTGTGCCTGTGAGAATATCTATTTATGTCACGAGCATTGAACAGATCTCAGAAATGAATATGGTAAGTGTGTTATTTCCAGCCATGGGGTTGGGAACAGAGGACATGGAACAAGCAGCAGGCTTATAATCCAAGTCCAGTTGTTCTGACCTGTGACAGAACTCACATAAAGGAACAAGGTAGGTTTGGGACACTGCAGCCATTCAGAATAAAAACTACATTAATTCAACCCCTACACCACACCACATCCAGAAACTCGGCTCCAGATGGATTATAGACTTAAAAGTGAAAGGCTTATTAAGCTTTTAAAAGATAGTGTAGAACACTGGCTTTATGTCTTGCAGTAGGATTTCTTTAAAAAGACACAGAAAACACAGACCACACAAAATAAATCTGGTACCTTCAACTATATTGAAATTCTGTGTAACCAAATTTACAGAACTCCTGTTTTACAAAACAAAACCATTATAACAAGTGTGAAAGGATCAATCACAGTGGACTAAGATGCTTGCAGCATGAAGGACATATTCAAAATATGCATCATTTTGTGAATTAATAAGAATATTTTGAAACCGATAGAAAAATTATCAGAAAATATGAACAAGAATATCACTTCTGTAAGAAAATTAAACAGCAGGTAAATATATGAAACATATGAAAAGACGGTTAGCCTTGTTAGTAGTGCAAAATAAAACCTGAATGAGAACCCATTACATACCAAATTAGCAAAAGTCAAAAGTCAGACAATACCAATGTTGGTGAAGCCAAAGCACTGGGAACCCTCTGCAGCTTTTTGGCGCTTGGCTTTCGGCAGGGATATAAAGTGGAACTTCTACTTCATCATTTTTATTTCATCATGGTTTTGGTATGCATGTTCATATGATAATCTGCGTGGTATATTCGTATATTATCCAGAAAAGCAAGTGAACAAATTATAATTACACATGTCCACCTGAGTGAATCTCACAAAGATAATGTTGAGTGAAAGAAGCAAATTATGAATACATACAGTATTATTTCATTCAGATAAAATTTTAAAAACAGGTCCAACTAAGCAATATGTTTTCCAGCAATACATAGACAATAAAACTCTCACACAAAGCAAGGGAATTATCATAAAAACTCGGATAATGGTTACTGCTGGGGGTGTGAGGGAAATATATTCTGGAAGACATACATTGGGGTTTGAAAGTTATTGGTAATATTCTGTTTCTTAACCTGGATTCTAATTACACAAGATTCATTTTATTCTTTCTTTAAACCTCCGTATGTTTCACGCACTTGTATATAGTTATGATATACTTCATACACTTGCATACACAAGTGCATGCACACATACACACACACCCTACACACACCAAGGATGGAGCTCTGGACAACCAAACTTACAACTGGGATTTACATTTGTCTTCCCAGGACTACACGATCACGATGTTTTTTCATCAGACTTGGAAAGATTCACGCTTAGCATACTATGAGACCACCCTGAACTTGACCCTGGACTATCGGATGCATGAGAAGTTGTGGGTCCCTGACTGCTACTTTCTGAACAGCAAGGATGCTTTCGTGCATGATGTGACTGTGGAGAATCGCGTGTTTCAGCTTCACCCAGATGGAACGGTGCGGTACGGCATCCGGTGAGTCCCCTAGGGGTCTGGGGATGTCCCAGCAGACTTCCTTCTTCCTACTGAATATTCTACAAACACACTCTAAGGGACACACAAAGGCACCCACTGCTTTCCAAACCCGTCTTGAACTTCCCCCTTCACTCGTTCTACCCAGTAGCCAAAGTGGAAATTTCACAGTTTCCCACAGACACCCTTAGCTGTTCTGTCCCCACACCTTGGTTTCTGCTGTTCCTTCTGTCTGGATTGGTCAGTCCTTTCCCCCTTTCCATGAGCTGAAACCTTGCCCACCCTGAAATCCCTAACTCAAATGCCCCCTTGGTCAGGAAGTCCTCCTTGATTCCCTCAACTGAAAGACCTCTCCCTCCACCCTAGTGTTGCATGCATTCTGTTCTTTATCTTTGTCTTTTCTCTCTGTGCAGTGAGGGAGGGAGAAGATGAATGCTGAAGTCCATGCAGTGAACGAGGGGGCCTGCTTTCTGCCTTCAGTCATATTTGCATCATGCAGGGCCTCCAGGAGTGCGGAGGGGCAGGGTGTGTGTGGCATGGGTCTCTGGTCTATGGCTCTCCACACACACGGAGCAATTGCAAGCTGAACCTCCTCACTAGTCTAGTTATAGCATAGGAGACAGTCACCAAGTTTCTCCTCACAGCGGCATCTCTTACAAACTGTCTCCAAAGACGTGTGTAAGAGATCAGTTTAGCTCAGAAAATGTGTCTGAGAAGTAGTTACCAGGGTTTGGCTCTTACGGTTTTTACAGATCTAATCTCTGGGTTTCTCTTTCTCCGTGGAGCTCTTGCTCCATTCCTTCCTTTTTCCATCCACCTTCCCACAGACCCAGGCTCTGAAATCGGGAAATAACAAGACTCACAGGGAACAGGTCACTGGTCACACTTGTTCTACTTAAAGGGAGAATTAGCTGAATAATGCTGCATGGAGGATTCATAGAAGGGAGAAAAACACACATGCACTCACACGTGCACGCGCACACCATATCCAGTGTACAAAATGGAAATTATTTCAAGGAAGCAATTGAAAGGGACTCAGCTGGGGTTAGCAGATAAGAAGGGCAGAATAAGGGATGGAGCAGAGCCTCCCAGGGGAGGCTGTAGAGAGCTTGTGTGTTATCTTCTCTCCCACTGGACACTTCGCCCACTTTCTCAGCACCTCTGAGACCCCTCAGATTCTTCTTCTTTTTTTTATTTTTATTTTTTGTTTTTTTTGAGATGGAGTCTCACTCTGTTGCCCAGGCTGGAGTGCAGTAAGTGGCACAATGTCGGCTCACTGCAACCTCCGCCTCCCGGGTTCAAGCAATTCTCCTGCCTCAGCCTCCCCAGTAGCTGGGAATACAGGTGAGTGCCGCCACACCCAGCTAATTTTTTGTATTTTTAGTAGAGACAGGGCTTCACTGTGTTAGCCAGGATGGTCTCCATCTCCTGACCTGATCCGCCTGCCTCGGCCTCCCAAAGTGCTGGGATGACAGGTGTGAGCCACCGCGCCCGGCCGGATTCTTCTTATGGATGCACTCACCACATTGCAACTTAAAGCTCCTGCCCACTTCGTGTACTGTCAACAGTGCCATGGCTCACCACAGATATGTTTATCCCTTCTGTCCATTTCGCACCCAATGACATTTTGCTAGTCCCCAATACCCACATAGGCCTGCACCTCTGGCTTGTGTACAGATGTGGCCAGAGGCAGGCCTGGATGGAGGCTCCCAGCTGTACATGCACACTTGACACCAGCACTCCACATTGCATCTGGAGTCTCAGCTGATTTGGCGTAGCACACAGTTTTCTCTTGCTAGCCTCACTCCTTCTGTAGGAAGCACCCCTTTCCGTCTCTGCATTCAGTTTCCTCCGGGGCCCTTCCCATCTGACACCCTGCAGTTTTCTGAGGTGCCATACGTGTGTTCTCTGTTTATGTGCTGCCAGGTCTCTTGGTTACTTTGTCACAAACAAATTTCCTCTCTCCTCTCTACACATGGGTCAGTCCTTGGGATAACTCTTCCCTCCCCACCCCTGCAGTTTCCTCAGCAATGGTTGTTTGCCTAGGCTTCACTCACTTTCTCCTTCCTTTTTGTTTTCCTTTGCAGACTCACCACTACAGCAGCTTGTTCCCTGGATCTGCATAAATTCCCTATGGACAAGCAGGCCTGCAACCTGGTGGTAGAGAGCTGTACGTATGTCTCCTATGGCCCCCTCTTCCGTACTTGGGGCTGTGGTGATCAGGGAAGCAGAGGCTGAATTGACAGTAAAAGGGCCAGTGTATCTCCTGTGCTCCCTCCCTCCCCCCATTCTCTCTCCCAAAATAAATAGACGATAGAGGATAGACAGATGATAGAAATAAAGAGAGAAAGATGGTGGAGAGATAGATAGGTGATAGATAACTTATTGACAGATAGATGTATAAATACAGCATCTGGGACTAGGTGGTCTTTAGAGCATAAACGGTCCTCTGGGAAAATGTCACCTTACTGTTGGGAAAGTGTGTGCAAGTTAGTGGGTAGGAGCTTGTAGCATGTCTTTTTTGTGCTTTTCTTTCTTTCTAAGAATCTGAGACTACCTCTGTTTCTCTCCTTCCCAGATGGTTACACGGTTGAAGACATCATATTATTCTGGGATGACAATGGGAACGCCATCCACATGACTGAGGAGCTGCATATCCCTCAGTTCACTTTCCTGGGAAGGACGATTACTAGCAAGGAGGTGTATTTCTACACAGGTGGGTCTGACCCCTTCCTTCTCTCCTGTCTCATGTCTGCCTTGCACCTCCATAAACTCCTAGCGGCCTCTGATTTTGGCTCCTATTCTCTGGTGCCTCCTTTTCCACTTCCTACTGGTTCCAGGCCCCCTTAAGAAAGCCCCAATGACTCATCCACCGCCAATGAGGAATGGCCGTGGAAGCACTTAGCCAGGTTCACAACACTCTGCAGGTGTAAAAGATTCATGCTCCTCTCAGGGCTGGCCTTTCACCCTCCATCTGTTTGTACCTTGGGAACATCTCTTGCCTCTCCCATTCCAAAACTTCACCTAACATGGAGCAAGTGAGAAAGGAAAGTGGAGAGAGCAGACTTGCTATGCTCATGCGCCTACTGAGATATGCCACTGTCACTGATCTGCTAGTGCAGTCTGCCCAAGCTGGATGCCTCTGGATGGAGTATTACAAGCTGAACTTCCCATTGCTCTCCCCTCCTTCTCCATCCTGTACCTCTCCACCCTGCAAATGCGCCTCAGCCCTGCCACCCTAATTCCAGTGTGTCTCCTTGCCAGGTTCCTACATACGCCTGATACTGAAGTTCCAGGTTCAGAGGGAAGTTAACAGCTACCTTGTGCAAGTCTACTGGCCTACTGTCCTCACCACTATTACCTCTTGGATATCGTTTTGGATGAACTATGATTCCTCTGCAGCCAGGGTGACAATTGGTAGGTTCTGTCTCTGTCCCAGGAAAGAATTTGGGTCATTTGGCTCAGAAAAAAAGTTGAGAGTAAGGAAAAAGTACCCAGAACAGTGTGTGACTAACTACACAGGCAAGGAAATAAGGATTTTTCCAATAGACATTTGCACCTTTGTACAGGTGCACAGCCAATCCCCAATAGAGAGACCGATATTAGAGACAGATGTGAAAAAAAATCAAGGTTGGAATCTTGGCCCGTTGAGCCCCGAGTACCAGAATTCATTATTTCTTGAATCCATAAGTAAACAGACGAGTCATAAGTTTAGACCATAGGGGCCATTAAAAGGGGGCTAAATCACAGGGTGTCTGGGACAGGAGCTGAGGAGATGAGGAGAGCAGCACAAAGACATCCTGGTCAGGCTTAGGAAGACCTTGTACTTTATGTCTAAGCATGGGGAGCCATGAAAAATTTTTGAGCAGTACCAAGAAGAGACCTAAGAGATCAACTCCCTGGTTTGTCTGGCCCCATCCAGCAGAATGTCAATGTGTCCCAGATCCAGGTCTGGTTTCTCCTTCACCATCTGTGGGGCAGACTCCTCAGCCTCCCTCTTTAGGAGAACGTTCTGGACTAAAGCTTTATATTTGTGTAATAGTTTAGGGCTCAGAAAACCTTCCCAAGAACTAAAGAAAGGCAAAAGGGAAAGGAGCCATCATAGGCCAAGGTGGGGCTGAAGATGTCAATTGCCATGAAGCCACGGCTAGAGGTTTGAGACTTGACGCTAAGAGCAATAAGAAGTCATTGAACCAGTGAAGCGTGGGCTGAGTTTAAAGATGGGGGAAAAGGAATAAAGAGAGAGCCGAAGGCCTTTGCTGTGGGCCCTCCTCACCCCAAATATGTTTGGGTGGGGGCCTGACAGGTTGCCAAGAACGTTAGCCATCAGAGGAGACTAAGTCTGTACTGTGTTGCTTACAGGCTTAACTTCAATGCTCATCCTGACCACCATCGACTCACATCTGCGGGATAAGCTCCCCAACATTTCCTGTATCAAGGCCATTGATATCTATATCCTCGTGTGCTTGTTCTTTGTGTTCCTGTCCTTGCTGGAGTATGTCTACATCAACTATCTTTTCTACAGTCGAGGACCTCGGCGCCAGCCTAGGCGACACAGGAGACCCCGAAGAGTCATTGCCCGCTACCGCTACCAGCAAGTGGTGGTAGGAAACGTGCAGGTTTGACTTTTTGACTGACAATCAGCTTTCCCTGAGCACCTCTTGAGCCCAGGCTTAGCGCTTTTGACCCTTTTGCATTTCTTAGCTTTTTAAATACGCGCACCCACACATGCGCGCACACGCAAAACACACACACACAACATATAACAAAGAAGTAGTACTATTTCTCATCACTCCTTTATAGATGATCATTGTCCAAGGTCACAAGGCAAGTAAGTGGCAGAGCTAAATTTCTCCAGACCTTTGGACTGAATTTGGTCCACTTTGCATGCTTCCAGAGCAGGCAATGAAGCTGGAAGGGAAGATGGGCGCAGGGAGACTGAAAGGAAGACAGACACCGGAGAGGCTGGCCTACCTACCCCTCCTTCCTTGGCACTTCAGACTCCCAAGGCAATGCTGAGGCTTTTGCTGTGGGCAGTATGTTAATGCCCAGCTACCTCCCTCCTTCGCAGAAAGCCCGGTCCTGCCTGCCTGAGCAGGCATCCATCCACCACACAGCACTCCTGAGGGAGCAGCTGCCTCCAGCGAGACACTGGCTTGGCAGCCTCCATAGCCTTCCCTTGCATGCTAACAGCCGATTGGTCCTGTTCCTCACCCCTTGAACACCAGAGACCCCAAGAGGAGCTGGCTCTATCTGTCAAAGAGATCAGTAACATTACAAGTGCTGATGAGGGAAGTCCCTTCCCTCCTCCCTCCCCCCAGTGCATATCCATCTAGGCGATATGAAACTGATGAGCCTATCCATTATCTCCTCAAAGGATGGCCTGATTAACGTGGAAGACGGAGTCAGCTCTCTCCCCATCACCCCAGCGCAGGCCCCCCTGGCAAGCCCGGAAAGCCTCGGTTCTTTGACGTCCACCTCCGAGCAGGCCCAGCTGGCCACCTCGGAAAGCCTCAGCCCACTCACTTCTCTCTCAGGCCAGGCCCCCCTGGCCACTGGAGAAAGCCTGAGCGATCTCCCCTCCACCTCAGAGCAGGCCCGGCACAGCTATGGTGTTCGCTTTAATGGTTTCCAGGCTGATGACAGTATTTTTCCTACCGAAATCCGCAACCGTGTCGAAGCCCATGGCCATGGTGTTACCCATGACCATGAAGATTCCAATGAGAGCTTGAGCTCGGATGAGCGCCATGGCCATGGCCCCAGTGGGAAGCCCATGCTTCACCATGGCGAGAAGGGTGTGCAAGAAGCAGGCTGGGACCTTGATGACAACAATGACAAGAGCGACTGCCTTGCCATTAAGGAGCAATTCAAGTGTGATACTAACAGTACCTGGGGCCTTAATGATGATGAGCTCATGGCCCATGGCCAAGAGAAGGACAGTAGCTCAGAGTCTGAGGATAGTTGCCCCCCAAGCCCTGGGTGCTCCTTCACTGAAGGGTTCTCCTTCGATCTCTTTAATCCTGACTACGTCCCAAAGGTCGACAAGTGGTCCCGGTTCCTCTTCCCTCTGGCCTTTGGGTTGTTCAACATTGTTTACTGGGTATACCATATGTATTAGTCCCCCAGTGCTCCAGAACAGCGGGAGCACTGTGCTGTGCTCCTTTCAGTTTCTTTTGGGTTTGTTTTTCCCTCTTTCCTTTGTTCCTTTTATTTTGTGGTTATTTGGGCAATCCAATAAGTTCATACTTCTCTTTATAAACATGAGGTGGGGAGTAATTGGAAAGAACATGTTCTAGCTGGAAGGGAAGGGATTGAGGAGGAGTTGGAGGTATACAGCACATGGATTTCCTTTCCTGCTAGAAGACTCTCACCTTTTCAAAGACTTGTAACAAGGAATAAGCATAGAAAAGCCCCTGGAAATGTTTAGAGGACAGAGAAGAGCCAGGTTGGGGGATGGGGCAAGGATCTGGGCCTTTTGCCCACAAACATTTCTGGGGGGCTTTTCTGTCCCCCTTGAGGTGTCAACATTTCTTTTTCATTACATGTTTTCTTCTTTTTTTGTTTCCTCCTAGGGATTATGGGTCTTGTTCACCCTCTGCTTAGGGCTTTATAGAAGAAAGTCAAGCTGGGTTGGGCTGGGGTTCATAGCTAAAGGGCTAGCCATGGCTTAGAAGTTCAGGGAACTTCCTATAGGAAACTTAGGGAGCATTTGTAAGTGCCTTTCCCCCACTGTATGGCATTTGACTGTGGTGTTTTGATGCAAGCGTGGAAGGGGAATGTGGGTGGATGGGGCTGCAGAGTGAGACATCAGGGTGAGAGAGCACATACTCAGCTTGTGGGGTTGGCAGAGGGTGGGGGGTGATGTCAGGTTGGAAATTACACAGTTGAGCTGGCCTCTTCGGAGGGATTGGAACTTGCCTATATTTCTGCTTCAGAACGCTTGGCAATAGAGACTCAATACATCTGTCTAAGTCAGGAGTTAGCTTTCCGTCAGTTGCTGAGTTGATCACCAGTTACAGCACTTGGTGAATAAGCACTAAGGTTAGGATAATTCACACTTGCTATTTTACCATCTGATCTAGACTAGCAGATGAATATCTATCGTAAGTCTATATACTAATCCTTTCTATTTGTCTAGTGCATAGTAAGTGTCAACAAGCTCCCTGACCCATTACATCACTGGAGCCTCACAGGAGCCCTGTAAGCCAGGGAAGGCAAAGCACATTGTCCCCAGTGTTCCAAGGAAAACGAATGGAGCTTATGCCGCATGCTTGAGGACATGCAGCCAGTGAGTGGTAGATCCACCCCACTTGCTCTTTCTTGTCTTTTTCCTCCTGACTGTCCCAACTGAGGCATTTCCTTTTCTTCCCTCCCTAAAGAGGGTGCTCCAGAGGGCCCCCACCACATCCTCTAGCACCTGGGGCATCTCTGCAGGAATAGGCTGGTGACCAGCCAATGAGCGTGACGTGAGCAGATGGAGAACACACTCTCTGCCCACTGAGCAGGGCCCCTAACGGAAGTAGGATTGGCCAGCATTCCAACTTGCCAAGCAGCTCCACCTCACTGATGGAGGTTGTGAGGGAGTGAACTTTGCCGAGCACTCAACATATGCCACCTCTTCCTCCCTATGCAGTCTCTCCCTCAGTCCCTTACCCCTCTACCCACTCACCCTTTAACTGTGCTTCTGTGTTTGTGTTTCTGTATATACCTGGGTGTATGCATATGCAGCAGGGTGGGTGTATGTACATATACAACCATTTGAGAAGCTGCATAGTGCCGTGTCTAGTGGTGTAAATCTACATTGGTGTGTACAGAATTGTATCTACAGCATGTGGATGCATGCGTGTGTGTGCACATCCCTGTGAAAGTGTGGCTTATGTATGTGTATGCTTGTGTACACATGGGTCTATGCTGAGTGCATGTATATAAGGGCATGTCTGCATATCTATGTTTATCTGATTTGAATGGGTGTGAAAGGAAATACCCCTGAAAGCATATGTATTCCCTGTTGGTGACCCTTCTAGAACCACTATAATTCCCTTGGCCTGCTCCCATATGGTGGAGGGGCCCTATTTGGCCGGGCTGCTTAACTGACTGTTTCTTTCCAACTTCCTGTTCCAGGGAGCAGCATCTCCCAGTTCCCTTCCACTGTTTGCCCTGTCCCTCCATCCATCTGTGCTGTCTCCTAGATAGAAGACTGGGGAAGTGAATGTAGTCCTAAGAAGTGGTGAGCTAGTGCCTTGAGGTAGGAAGTGGTTAATCCATGGAAGAAGCTGCAAGTACAGAGCATTTCACTTTGTCCTAGAGGAACATGTTTCGGGGTAACAGGCTGGGGAGTGAGGCTGAAAGAGGCATTGAGAATAGACACTTGTACAGTCACATACACATACACACACACAAATCTTGTACAACAGTTGAAAACAAGAAAGTTACCACTGGAAGAGCTAAAATTGCCTCTTTATTTTTGGATACCCCATATAGAGATTCAGGTGGAGGGGAGAGCAGTGACTCCATGTCTGAAGCTCCCAATGTGGCTATTGAAAGGCTGGCTTCCTGGAGCCTAAGCATTGGTTGGTTGACGTGGATTTGGGTCTCCAGCACCCTGGAGGTGCTTTCAACCCTGTGGTGGCAAGCAGTTCATTTGGGATAAAGTCATAAAGGGAGATTGGAGCAGTGTGAAGAAAAGGAGGGTTTTAAGATTTGTCTGGAAGCAATGCACATGAAGGCTTCACAGCACAGAGGAAGGGCAGCGAGGCCAGTTGTAAATATCTCTATAGATCCATATAGCTAGATATAATACTATACCTTAAAAAGGATATCTTGCCCTGACGTGCTGCAATGAGAGCAGTTGAACTCTACTGCGACTCATACTCTGTAGGTTAAGTGTCAAAATGAGGTGGAGATTTGGCAGTGACACCCTTTCGGGAACGTGAACCTTCTGAGTTTGCTATGGATTTGGTCATTTTAGCCTGCACGTTGCCAGATCTCCCCTTGTTGAGTCTTGTATGTGGTCTGTCCTCTGTGTCATTTGAGTCCTCAGCTGTCCCCAACCCCTTCCCAGCCCCTCCCCAGCCTGCAGTCACCCCCTGTCCAGCAAGCTGCCTCCATCCCATCCCTCTCCTCACCTCACACCAGGTAACTCTGGAAGTGCAGAATGCTTGGTAGTTTGGAGCTTGGGCAGCATCTGGGATGCAACAACCCCTATTTTACTCTTCTACCCACCTTCCATTTCTTTCCTTCCCATCGACTTCCCCGACCCAGGATCCCTTCTTTGCCACTATCATGGGAAGGACACCCCTGTCTGTCTTTCTGAAGTATCATTTTATTGTGGGGATGTGTGACACGTTTCCTACCAAGTTCTTGCCAGTTCCATCTGCCACTGTGGGGTGCCTTTGCACAGGTCATGGACGATCTGCTGGGTCTTACTAGAGCCTGTCAAATGTATTCTTACAATTCATGTCATCTTGTTAATAGCAGGACTTCAAAGTCTTTGCATATTTAGAGCTGAGTTTTGCTGAGACTGTGGCCATTCCTAATGAGGTTTCCTCATTCCATATATATAATAGCTAACCCTTAAAGCCATTAACTAATGAATGCATTTATTAAGCTATCCACTCGCATGGTACCCTGCTGTGGTGATGAGCAGTAACTTTCTAGCTATTCCATAGCCCAACATCAAAGGAAATCGTGACTCGTCCTACTAGAAGTGTAGTGTCTTTGTGTTTGTTGTGTAGTGTCCTGTGATCAATATAAAATCTATATTATCAGTGTTGGGTTTTCAGGGGAGGGAGGGAGAGGATGTTAAAGTCTCTCTTTGATAAACTTAAATTATGAAATAGCCCAGTTGTTCAGGGTCACTTCTATTGACTCAATTTGTGTGAGACTTTGCACTCACTATCTCGCCGGCCGGACTGCATGCCCAGGGTCAGTAGTCAGCAGAGCTAAAGGTGCCCGAATTTAGCACAGCTGGCTGTGGTGCCTGACATAGGGCAGTACCGGGGGATTCTTCAGAGGTCAGCCAAGTCGGTAACATTCTGTGAAGCAGATTAAATACAGTAAAATCAAACAAACGGAGGTCTTTGGAAGTGATGCTGGGCCCAGGCAGTGAAAATCAAGAAAAGAGGAGAAAGACCAAGACCTGGATGTCCTGGACGACCTGACCCAAAAAGGGGCACAAAGCAGCAGAGCTTCACCAGGTGACTGGGTGGCTTCTTTGTCCTCATTAAATGTACATCTTTGCATGAAAAGGACCTTGACTGGTCCGGACTTTAACAAAGTAAAATATGAAGAAACGTAAAATTATGCTTCTGAAAAATATACTGAAATAAAATTTTGTAAATAGCTAAAAGAAAAATAAATAAATATAATAACAAGTACTCTACCAGGTCATCGTGTTTCCTCTCTGTTGGATTAGAAGATATTGAGCAGGACAGCTGTCTGGGCCCAGGAAACCTCTGGCTTCCATCACTCACTTCCCATGGCCTTCCCACCGCTTTTCACATAGACCTCTTCATACCCCAGGACAGTGGAAGCCATGGTTTTCAAGCCGAGGGGAATTAGCAACAGCACAGTTTAAATTAGTTTTGATTTTTGCAGAAGCCATTCTTAATCTTCTAAAACAAAACTTTTAAAACAGAACAGGCCACTGTGGTGCCAAAATACAAGGTAGAAGTTTCGTTCAATTTTATAGGGGGAGAGCCCCGACTTGAGCCCGCAAGTCAAGGCTGCAGTAAGCCATAATCGTGCCACTGCACTCCAGCCTGGGAAACAGAGCAAGACTGTCTCAAAACAAAACAAAAGGGTTGGAGGAAAGAACTTAAAAGAAGTAATATCTTCCAAGGTAGTGTTCTCAAAGAGAAACAAAAGGGAGTAGAAATACGCCAGCTTCTTAGGAAGTCTCCCTCCAGTATCACTCTGGGTTGGGAAAGGAGGTTAAAAATTTATTGGAGATTATGGACCCCAGCTCTCCACGCACCAACTCCTCCCCACCCGCTTCTCTCAGAAGCACTCTGTGTGCCCTTGGACAAGACTTTGTTCATTTGGGAGCCTCTTCTAGTCCTGTCTCTCCCTGGCCCCTGACCAGCTAGCCAGCCCATTCTGACCCCAGGCTAGGTGCTCAAAGCTCTACCCATTAAGGGGAAGATTTTCCCTTGCCACTCTCTTTCAAGACCACCCCCAGGTGTGCCTGACATGCAGTGCCGTCCATTTTCAGCTTGTACACACAGACTGAACCAGCTCATTTATAAACCAGCTAGGGCCCTTTCCCTCCTACAGCTGGTCATAAAGGGCTCCCCCATGTGGTCACAGGTACAAAGTGGGGAAGGGGCGCTGGTACAACTGTGATAAGCAGTGTAGGGGTCAAAGCCATCTGCTCATGCAGTTACTTGTGCTCTCTGGTCCTGCACAGGCTGGGAACAGGCCAGCAATGTCATCCCTGCTCCTCTCAGCCACTGGATGGGAGCAGCCCCAGGGGAAGCATGGCCTCCACACAAGTACAGTTGTAGCTGATAAGTAACAATGCCTCCAATAGCAGATTCTCTTACTGGAGAGCTGAAAGACACACAACTCCATGGCCACCACACAAACACACCTTTCTATTGCTACTGTTGGTCTGCCTCTCGGAGCATAACATTTTTCACCTAATCAAAAACCCTCTTGTTACTCTAGGTTGGTATGGGCCAGGCCTCGAGAAATCCCACCCTGATACACTCTCCATGGAGAAGTATGTAAATCCTTTCGTGAAGAAAGTGAAACCTCCACCTTCCTCTCCAATAAATAAAAGTGGCTGCCCCATCACACCACCAGACAATGGCTAACTACTTGGAAATACCCAATTTAGTATTAGATAATGAGTCAGGAAAGGTTAGGTGCTGCTATTGTGACAATCCCAAAATCCCAGTGACTTGACCCCCCAAAAATGTTTATTTCCTTCTCACATTGCACATCTAATGCAGGTCATCAGGGGAGCTTCTGCTCATGGTGGCAACTCAGGAACAAGCTGACAGAGATTTCATCGTGTGCTTCTACAATCTTTGTAGTAAGGGGAAGGGAAAGTAGTGGGGCTCACACTAGTAACTAAATACTGCAGCCAGAAAGGACATACCTCACTCAAACTCATGACTCATTAGGTAGAACCAACACCATAGCCTAACCCGACTATAAGGAACCAGGACATTCAGTTTGCTGTGTACCCAAGAGGGGTGATCTATATATTCTGGAATTGCACTAGTGGCAACCATAGGTGTCTTCCGTTGATCTTTGAAAGGATGTTACTTTCTCATTTCCCCGCTTAAAGGTACTCATGCCCTCCCTTTGTGGTAGTCTTCTCATCTTAAGCCAGTAACATATGCAAAAGTTCTAAAATACTGCCATTCATCAGTAAGAGTGTCTACTGTAGGTAGTATTCAGGAGAAGCTCCAGGCAGATAGTCATTCTCCTCATCCTTTCCCCCCAGGGAAAGGAAAAACAGCCCCTTTGCTATTTCTGACAGGCTGCACTACCAAAATCCCAGAGGTCATGGGAGTCAGGAGCTGAAACCTGGTCCCCAACTGTCTACAGTTTTAGGAGCAGACTTTTCTTGTGTAAGCTTTCTACCTTCACCTCTGAGGTTTGCAAGCAATAGGATAGATATATATACATATACATATACATATACATATACATATACATATACATATACATATACATATACATACATATACATACATATATACCTATGATAGGTATGAGAGGGATGAGAAGAGATTATTAGGAAAATTGGCTCACTCAATTATGGAGGCTGAGAAGTCCCACAAAATACCATCTGCAAACTGGAGAGCCAAAGAAGCCAGAAGTGTGGCTCAGTCTAAGTCCAGTGAAGGCCTCAGAACCACAGAAGCCAATAGGTGTAACTCTCAGTCCCAGGCTGAAGTCCCAAGAACCCGGAAAGATGATGGTGCGAGTCCTAAAGTCCAAAGGCCAGAGAGCCTGGAATTGATGTCCAAAAGCAGAAGAAGATGGATGTCACAGCTCCAGAAGACAGATAGTGCAAATTTGCCTTTCTTCTACCTTCTTGTTCAATCTGGGTCTCAGCCAATTGAATGGTGTCACCCACATTGAGTGAGGGCAGATCTTCCTTATTCAGGCCATTGATTCAAATGCCAGTCACTCCCAGAAACACCCTCATAGACACACTCAGAAATAATACTTTATCAGCTATCTGGACATTAGCCCAGTCAACTTGACACCTAAAATTAAGTATCACAGGCTGTATACCCCATTCTGGCTATAAGAAAGGCTAACTGCACCAGAGACACTAAAGCCAAAGCTGAGGAAGAAAAACTCCTCAACAGCTGAGTTGGTCCTGGGCACAGTGAATCTGGAGATGACCCAAACCTTCAGTGAACTCTCTCACGAAAACACAAGTCAACCTCTTTTGGAATCTCAGGGTTCCTGAGTTCTGATGAGGGCCCTGTCAAGAGTGAGGGCAGCTAAGAGGAAGTATGTGAAGCAGAGGTGGGGCAGGTGTTGATCCGGGTGGGCATTGATCATGGGTGGATGAGATTAACACGAAAGCACCCTTCATCCTACATGATCCCCCCAGCAATCACCCTGGGGCTCATTTTGAATGACCCCATTCTCATACAGAGGCTGATTATCAGCCTGAAGTGTTTCCTACCAGAAGCTGCAAATCCCAGTTTGATGGTTGAAGGTCTTCATTAACGCACTGAAAGGCACCGTTAAGAAAATGAAAAGGCAAGCACAGACTGGGAGAAAATATTTGCAAAACACATGTCTGATACAGGACTTGTATCCAAAATATACAAAGTACTCATAATTCAACAATAAGAAAACAAAAAAAAATTAAAAATGGGCAAAAGATATGAAAAGGTACTTATCAAAGAAAACATACAGATGGCAAATAAGCATAAGAAAAGATAAGCATCATTTATAATTAGGGAATTACATATTTAAACAACAATGAGATATCACCACATCATATTAGGATGCCTAAAATACAAACCACTGACAATACCAATTGCTGGTTAGGATGCTGAGCAACAGAAATTCCCATTAATTGCTGGTAGTAATGCAAAATAGTACACTTGTTTGGAGGACACTTCAGCAGTTTCTTACAAAGCTAAACATAGCCTTACCATATGATGCAACAATCATAGATTTTGATATTTTATCTTATTTAGTAGAAAACTTATCTCCACACAAAACTCCATACAAATGTTATGGCAGCTTTATCCATAATTTCCCAAAGCTGGAAGCAACCAAGATGCCCCTCAATAGGTGAATGGATAAACAAACTCTGGTACATTCAAACCTCAGAATAAAAATACCATTCAGCAATAAAAATGAGCTATGAAGCCATGAAAAAAACACAGAGGTATTTTAAATGCATATTGCTAAGTGAAAGAAGCCAGTTTGAAAAGGCCACGCACCATATGATTCCAACTATGTGACATGCTAGAGAAAGTAAAATTATTGATATAAAAAGATCAGTGCTTGCTAGGGATTCAGGGAGAAAGAGTGAGCATAAATAGGTGAAGCACAAGAAATTCATTAGGACAATGAAACTATTCCATATGGTACTGGAATGGTGGGTAAATGACATTGGACATTTTTTAAAAACCATGAAAATATACAACACAAAGTAAGCCTTAATGTAAACAATAGACTTTAGTTAATAATAATTTATCAACATTGGTTCATTAATTGTAACAAATATACCACACTAATGCAAAAAGCTCATAATAAGGAAAATTGTATAAGAGGATGAGGCTACTGGGAACTATCAGTACTGTCCAATTTCCTATAAATTAGAACTGTTTTATAATGTCTATTAATTTAAAATATAAAACATACAACTAACACACAACCCAGATTTCATACTTGGGCATTTATCCTGGAAAAATGAAAATGTATGATCACACTGAAAGCTGTACATGAATGTCCACAGTAGCTTTATTTATAATACCCAAATGCTGAAAACAGCCCAAATGACCTTCAATGGGGTAATGTCTAAACAAACTATGGTAGATCTGTACATAGGATACTACTTAGCAATGAAAAGGAAGAAACTGTTGATATATGCAACAGCTCAAGGGAATTATGTTGTTTTCATTCAGGCTGCTGTAACAAAATACCTTAAAGTGGGTAATTTATAAATATTAGAAATTTATTTCTCATAGTTCTGGAGGCTGGCAAGTCCAAAATCAAGGTGCCAGCACAGTGTCTGGTGGGGGCTCTCTGCTTTATAAACAGCACTTCTTGCAGTGTCCTCACATGGTGAAAGGGGCTAACAGCTCCCTCGAACCTCCTGAACTAATTCCATTTATGTGGGATCCACCCTCATGACTTAATCACCGTCTAAAAGGTCCCACCTCTTAATATTATCACATTGTCAATTAAGTTTCAACACATGAATTTTGTGAGGATACATTCAGATCGTAGTGTATGCTAAGTGAAAAAAGCTAAAACTCACAATGAGAGACTACCATCCACCTATTAGATTAGCTAATATGGAAAAGACTGACAATACCAAGTATTGGTGAGAATTTGGCAGTTTCTTAAAATGTTAAACATGCACCTATCATGTCATGCAAGTATACCACTTCTAGGTAATTATATAAAACTTCCCCAAATGTAAAAGAATCTATTGTAACAGAAGGCAGATCCATGGTTTCTTGGGAATGGAAGTTCAGGGAGGGGGCTCCTACAGGAGGAATTATGAAGGGTAGAAGAAAACTTTTGAGGGTGATGCATCTGTTCACTCTCTTTATTGTGATGATGGTTTTTCAGAGGTATACATGTGTCAAAGCTTATGAAATTTACACATAATGCAGGTTTTTTTATGTCAAATATCTTTTAATAAAGCTTTTTTTCTTATTCTTCAACTTTTATTTTAGATTCTGGGCGTGCATGTGCAGGTTTGATAACTGGTTATATTGCCTGATGCTGAGGTTTGGGGTACAAATGATCCCGTCATCCAGGTGCTGAGCACAGAACCCAACAGTTTTTCAACCCTTGCTCCCCTCCCTCCCCAGTCCAGTAATCCCCAGTGTGTATTTGGTTTTTGGTTCCTGTGTTAATTCACTTAGGACAATGGCCTCCACCTGCGACCAGGTTGCTGCAAATTGCATCACATGATTTTGTTCTTTCTTATGAATGCATAGTATTCCATGGTGTATATGTATGTTTTCTTTATCCAGTCCACAATTGATGGGCAGCTAGGGTGATTCCATGTCTTTGCTATTGTGAATAGTGCTGCAACGAACATGCTAGTGCCTGTGCCTTTTTGGTACAATAATTGGTTTTCTTTTGGATATATGCCAAGTAATGGGATTGCTGGAACAAATGGTAGTCCTGTTTTGAGTTATTTGAGAAACCGCTAAAGTACCTTCCACAGTGGCTGAACTAATTTACATTCCCACCAATAGTGTATAAGCATTCCCTTTTTTCTGCAGCCTCGCCAACATCTGTTGTTTTTGACTTTTCAAGAATAGCCATTCTTACTGGGGTGAGATGGTATCTCATTGTGGTTTTGATTTGCATTTCTCTTATGATTAGTGATGCTGAACATTTTTTCACGATGGTTGGCTGCTTGTATGCAATCTTTTGAGAAGTGTCTCTTTGTGTCTTTTGCTCAGTTTTTAAATGGGGTTGTGGGTTATTTTTCCTTGTTGAACTGTTTAAGTTCCTTATAGATTCTGGATATTAGACCTTTGTCAGATGCATACTTTTGCAAATTTTTCCCCATTCTGTCTTGATACTTACCTTGCTGTGCAGAATTTTTTTAGTTTAATTAGATCTGACTTATCAATTTTTATTTTTGCTGCAATTGCTTTTGAGGACTTTGTCATAAATTATTTCCCAGGACCCATGTCCAGAATAGTGTTTTCTGATATTTTCTTCTAGGATTCTGATATGATTTGGGTCTGTATTCCCACCCAAATCTCATGTCGAATGTAATCCTCGGTGTTGGGAGAGGGGCCTGGTAGGAGGGAATTGTATTATGGGGGCGGATTTCTCCCTTGATGTGCTCGTAATAATGAGTGAGATCTCACAAGATCTGATTGTTTATAAAAGTGTGTAGCACTTCCCCCCTCTCTTTCTCTTCCTCCTGCTTCAGCCATGTAAGACGTGCCTCCTTCCTCTTTGCCTTCTGCCATGATTGTAAGTTTCCTGAGGCCTCCCTAGCCATGCTTCCTGTACAGCCTGCCAAACTGTGAGTCAGTTGAAGCTCTTTTCCTTTTCAATTACTCAGTCTCAGGTAGATCTTTATAGCAACACGAGAACAGACTAATATGGATCTTTACAGTTTGAGGTCTTACATTTAAATCTTTATCTTGAGTTAATTTCAGCATGTGGTGGTGAAAGGGGTCCAGTTTCATTCTTTTGCATATGGTTAGCCAGCTATCCCAGCACCATTTATTAAATAGGGAGTACTTTCCTCATTGCTTATTTTTGTTGACTTTGTCAAGGATTAGATGGCAGTAGGTGTATGGCTTTATTTCTGGGTTCTCTATTATGTTCCATTGGTCTATGTGTCTGTTTTTCTACCAGTACCATGCTGTTTCAGTTACTGTAGCTTTATACTATAGTTTGAAGTCAGGTAATGTGATGCCTCCATCTTTGTTCCTTTTGCTTATGATGACTTTGGCAATTCAGGCTATTTTTTGCTTCTATGTGAATTTTAGAATAGTTTTTTCCAATTCTGTGAAAAAATAACATTGGTAGTTTGATAAGAATAGCATTGAATCTGTAGATTGTTTCAGGCAATATAGTCATTTTAACAATATTGATTCTTCCAATCTATGAGCATGAAATATTTTTCCATTTATTTGTGTCATCTGTGATTTCTTTTAGCAGGGTTTTGTAGTTCTCCTTGTAGAGATCTTTCACTTCCTTGGTTAGATATATTCCTAGCTATTCCACCTTTCTGTGGCTATTGTAAATGTGGTTGCATTCTTGATTTGGCTCTCAGCTTGAACGTTAATGATGTATAGAAATGCTACTGATTTTTGTATATTGATTTTGTATCCTGAAAGTTTGCTGAAGTTGTTTGTCAGTTCCAGAAGCCTTTTTGTGGAGGCTTTAGGATTTTCTAGGTAGAGAAGCCTATTGTTTACAAGAGCTGTTTTTCAAAAATTATATTTTCTACAAGAACAAAACAACTTTTGAAAAGAATAAAAATAAAAGACTTGGGAAGGGAGAGTATTTAATGACTGGGATTATTTTAAAATCCTGGGATATGGTGTTAATTTAAAAATCAAGACTTTTTAAATGGGCTTATTACTATTTAAAAATACTCTGTATGGATTCAACTGTCTTCAGGAAGATGGAGTAGAGGTACTTTTCTCTGTTTAACATGGTAGACATAACTAAACTGCCTGGACCTTGGCTATACTACAAGCACAAGAAGAGTCTGAATAGTGGAAAGAAGAAAGAAAACTCTCTAGTGACCTTGGGACCAAAGGAGTGGCATGGTGGGGCATTGCCTGGGTTTCCTTTTGCCTCATATATCCCAGACTTGGAGACAAAGAAGCAACAAACCCAGAAATGCCAATGGGCACAGACAAGAAAAGCCCCAACAAAAACTTGCTCTCTCCAGCCAAAGGACCAGGACAGGGGTAACCCATTAAGGCAGAAAATGTTTAGACATTAACTGCTCTACTCCAGCCAGACAACACAGAAAAAAATGTGGCTCCACCCCAAACAGACAGCAAAGACCAAGTAGTGAGCCCAGATATCTAACCTTATCAGGCTATACCAAAGTATTTGAAACCCCACTCGACTGCACCCCACCAGAGATGGTAACAGAGAAGACTCAGTAGGGGCCTGGGAGTTTGATTCCTTACCAGTTGGTAAGGAGGCCTAGCAGAGACTCAGGATTTCAATATGGCATAGATACTGCAACCACGCCCAACCACCATGATGTCAGTGCTCCACATGGGGAGCAGTAATGAGGCAGTCCTGCCCCTCCAGGAAGGAGATATTCAGGGGAAGTCTAGTAGGGAGTTGGAATTGCCACCATTTCCCAACAGTAACAAAGACAACCTCCCTGGGTGTCAGTGGAGGCCAAGCTAGGAACCCATCTGGCAGTGATGAAGCAGTGGCCTCCTTCCCCTGCTAGAGCAGTGTCAGAGGAAGTTAGTTAAAATAGAAGGTTTGAACAAGATCCAGTCTTATGGCACAATACTAAAATGCCCAGGATGCAATTAAAATAAAATAAAACCTCATCATGCCAAGAATCAGGAAAATCTCAACTTAAATGAGAATAGACAATCAAGACAGGCTAACACCAAAAGGACACAGATGTTGGACTTATTTTCCGAAAAGTATTAGAAATAAATCATCATAAAAATGTTTCAACGAGTAATTACAAACACACTTAAAACACAGGAAAACAGAAAGTCTCAGCAAGAAACAGGAGATATTAAAAGAACAAATGGAAACTTTAGAACTGAAAAATACAATAACTGAAATTAAAACCTTAACTGATGTATTCAACAGCAGAATGGAGAGGACAGAAGGGAAATCAGTGAACTGAAGACAGAGTAATAAAAATGATCCAGTCTGAACAACAGAGTTAAAAATAGAAGGAAAACATAAACAAAGCTGCAGGGACCAATAGGATTGTGCCAAAAGATCTGTTATTTCTACCATCGAAGTCCCAGAAGGAGAGGAGAAAGAGACTAAGGCTGCAAATGTATTAAAATGACACCTTTTATAAGGGGATAACAATTCAAATGACAGAGGATTTATTTGTAGAAAACACAGAGGCTAGAAAAAGTGGTACAAGATCTTTCAAGTGCAGAAAACGATCTAAACATACCAATTGAAATACAGAGAATAGAATAGTGGATTCAAAAAATTACCCAATTATATGGTGTCTGTAAGAAACTCGCTCAAATATAATGATATAAGTAGGTTGAAAATAAACATGAATGTTGATAACACCTTTATTTGTAGTAGTCAAAAAATTGAAACAACTAAAATATCCTTCAATAAATGAATGGTTAAACAACCTGTGATACATAACTACTCCACAATAAAAATGAGAAAACTACTGAAAGGTGCAACAACAACTTATATGGACCTCAAGGGCATTATGCTCATTGAAAAAATCCAGTATTAAAATTCCGTTTCATACTGTGTGGCTCCATGTACGTAACATTCCTGATATAACAGTTATAAATATGGACAACAGACTATTGGTTTCCAGGAATTGGGGATTGTGCGGGGGGGAAAGCGTGAGTGTGATTATAAAGGGTAGCACAGGGAAGTTTGTGTAGATGGTATAGTTCTGTATCTTAATTGTATCATGATCTGTACCTTGACTGGGGTGGTAGTTGCAAATCTACACTTCTGATAAATTGGCAACAAATATATTGTATCAGTTTCCTGATTTTGAGGTAGTAATCCTTGGCTGAAATTGGATGGTTACTTAGAACTTCTCTACTACCATTGTAGCTTCCTTGAATCTATAATTATTTCAACATAAAACATTTTTAAAGTGTATACAGGCCTCCATTTTTGACAAAGTATTTAAAAAGATATTCTGAACAACCCCCGTTATGAAAACAACTAAAGTGCTGAGTAAATAACTCAAGTCTTTTAAAATACCTAACTGCTTGGCATTGAAATATGGAATTTACTGGAGCCATGTATGAAATGATAGTGGGAATCCTGGAAGGTGAGAGAGTATCAAAGTCAGCTTTAATCCTTGGGTTTCTGGAAAATCTTAGAAGTGTGCTTCTATTGTGATGGGTACATGAAGTACAAAGTACAGGAGATGAAGCCTACAGCCTTCCCAAGGAGGGAAGTCTAATGGGAGATTAATAGCAGGTATAACAGAAGATCATCTGCTTGGGAACTTGCTACAGTATCAGATGGATGAGATGACAAAGGAATTCACTTGTCATGGCCTTTGTACTGGATAGAGGAAGAACCAGCGCCCTGAAAAATTATAATACTTTTAAGTCATATATTTTATGATACACTGGTATCAAGAGTATATAAATAACTCTTATAACTCAAAAATAAAAAGAAAGATATCCTAATTTTAAAATGGGCAGAAGATTTCAATAGACATTTCTCCAAAGAACATATATGAATGACCAATAAGCATAATAAAAGAAGCCAGATCTTATTAGGCATTATGGAAATACAAATCAAAACCACAGTGAGATACCACTTCACATCCACTAGGATGGCTGGAATCTAAAAGACAGATAACAACAAGCATTGGTGAGGATATGGAGAAATTGAAACCATCATACATTGCTAGGATTGTAACATGGTGCAAGCACTTTGGAAAGGTTTAGCAGTTGTTCAAAAACGTAAACATGGAGTCATCATTTGACCCAGCAATTCCACTTCTTGGTATACACCCAAGAAAAATGAAAACGTATGTCCACACAAAAACCTGTACAAAAATGTTTATAGCAGCACTATTCACAATATCCCAAAGGTAGAAACAACCTACATGTCCATCAGTGGAAGAGTAGATAAACAAAATGTGGCATATTCATACAATGGAATATTATTTGGCCCTAAAAAGAATGAAGTTATACATGCTGCAACATAGATGAAGCTTGAAAACATTATGCTATGTAAAAAAAGCTATTAACAGAAGACTACATATTATATGATACTATTTATATGAAAGGCTCAGAATAGGCAAACTTACAGAGACAGGAAGTGGACTAGTGATTGCCTGGGGCTGGGGATGTGAGGCTGGAAGGAAATGAAGAAGGAATACTAATGGGTACAGGGCTTCTTATTGGGAAGATAGAAATATTCTAAAATTGATTGTGGTGATGGTTGCACAATCGTGTGGACACAGTAAAAACAATGAATTGTATGTATAAATGGGTGATTTTATGGTATTTGAATTGTATCTCAATAAAGCTGTTTTTTTAAAAGCAAGTTGAAGGATAAGATGCCATTTGTGCTAACTGATGGGTGATTGAGAGTATTAGTTTAGAAACCTTTTGTCAACAGAGCTGACGTTTATATTTACTGAATCCATTACTAATTTAATCAAATAAAATTCACCCTCACTGACAGCCTCATTCTGTGAGTGAGTCTGCCTTTCCCCAAGATAGCAGAGCATACAGGGACATTGGTGGTGGCCTAACTCCCCACTTCCCCCCATTGCACAGATGGGGAAACTGAGACTCAGGGAAGAGATAGCACATGCTACTTAGTAAGTTAGCAGGAGAGCAGGGACTGGAATGTGAATCTCCTCACCCCTGTCCCAGACTCTTACCACTGTACAACTTGTCATCCACATTCTTATTTCCTTCTCCTTTCCCTTCCTTTCTTTTCCCTCCTCTCCAAAGCAGACCCTATTTTCTCACATATTTGCTTCAGCGTTCTTTTTTTTAAAAAAAATCTTCCTTTTCTCTCTCCCTCACTTCCTCTCGCCCTTCCTTCCCTTTTCCTTCCTTTTTTTTTAAAAAAAAAAAACAGCGCTACTATTTTCCCAAAGAGTGATTTAAAGCTGGTTCTCTATAGTCGACTGTAATCAGGGTCATACTTTCCCTTCAGTCCAACATCATTCCTCAAAGTACTGGACACAGCCCCTGGGGCTTGTGTATGGGCATGCCAGGCTGTGAAGAGTGCACATCTGATGGCAGAGGGGGAGGGAAAGGTTGTCCCACAGGAGTGGAGGTGGAAGTGGGTTGGGCAATTGCCATTCCGTGAAGGTCTGAGGTCCTAGCTGTGGTTTCTTAATCTTCTCCTTTCCTCCTCTCCTCAGTACCACTAAGTATCTTTATATTTGAGATTGGCAGTATGTATTTAAATAATTCTGTCTGGAACTTGTACCAAAAACTACTGTTTTTCCCCCTTATTAGTCTATCTTGTATCTGCAGCCTCTGTTTCTGATTATTTAGGTGACTCATGTCTAGCTGCTGGAATGAAGAAGAGAAGGGGCCTTCTAGAGCAAGCCATGTGAGTAGGGGGAGTGGATAAATTCATCCATGAGAACCTGAGTCGTGTCTAGCCACCATGTTGATAGTCCCAGGGAGGCAATTGGGGCCCTAGGGAGGGGTCTAGGGAAGATATTGTCCCAACAGTAGCATTTTGCACAGCTTGTCGGGGAGGGTGGCCCTTCAGGGAACCAGGTCTGGGCTGGTCGTCCAGTTCTGACTTTCCTGCTGACTCTCTGCTTTTCTGAGATCCTCACTTTTCCTTTCACAGTATCTCCAGAACACTAACAAATCAAATTCCTGTATTTCAAACAAAATCATAGCAGCAAATAACTCCAGGAGTTCTCTCCTATAGACAAAGTGATTGCTCCTTCTTTCTATCTTTCCCCAATGTTTCTATACAGCTGGTCTATTTCTATAGTCTTGGTAGATAGCCTAGAGATTGTGTCTTCTCTTCCCTCCTCCTATCTCTTTTCACTTTTTTTCTTCCAACACTTTCACCTGGAGGATGACCAGAGTGAAGGCTATGGCTGCAGTAGGTCCAGGATGGATGGGAGTGGAATCTTCCAGGGACCTTGCCTTAGTCAAGGGCCAGGGCTGTGCCTGCCTCTCCCCACCTTTACCAACTTTCTTGGGCACCAGTCAGAGTCCAGCACGTTGACATCACTGGGCACAACTGTCCTTAGTCTCCTCTCTGATGCAAAGAACATATAAGGATTCTAATCTCTACCTTCTGGGGACTAAGGTCTCAGGCCGAGTGGGGGGCCCTGGCTGGCCAGCTCATGGCTGTTTCAGTGGGTGAGGCACTTGGCATCTGGAATAACCTATGGCAGTGGGAGTACAGCCTTGAGAAGGCATGGGTCTCATTTTGCTGGCTTGGCACCCATGTGCCTTTTCATACCCAGCAGCCTGGGAAGAAGCCGGGGAAATCCCTAAGGAAACTACAAGAACTTCAGCAAGGTTACATGGTCAACCTACAAAAATGAAGTGTTATTACATACAACTACAAGTAAAAAATGGGGAATCAAAAGTTTAAAATATCATTTTAATAGCTCCAAACACATAATATGTATGTATAAATCTAAAAAATCATGTGTAGGATCTATATGCTGAAAATAACAAAATGCTGATTAAATAAATCAAATACGACCTAAATAATTAACTAATTGATAGAGACACATATCATGTTAGTGGACTGGTAGACCCAACCTAGTGAAGATGTCAATTCTCACTCTATTGATCTATATATTCAAAGAGATATCCATCAAAATTGCAGCAGGATTTTTGTAAATATAAATAGGCTGATTCCAAAAGTTCATGGAAGGGAAAAGGAACTAGAATACCTAAAACAATCACAATATGCTGTTAAACACAGATGCAAAAGTCCCCAGCAAAATACTAGCAAACTGAATTCAACAGCATATTAACAGAATTATGCACCATGATCAAGTGGAATTTATCCTGGGGATGCAAAAGCTCCTTAATATTGTTCCTGGCAATGACTTTATGACTGTGACTCCAAAAGCTCAGGCAACAAAAGCAAAAATAAACACATGGGAGTTCAATCAAACTGAAAAAGTTTCTGCACAGCAAAGGAAACAATCAATGAGATGGAAAGGGAACCTATGGAATTGGAGGAAATATTTGCAAACCACATGTCTGATAGAGAGCTAATATCCAAAATATACAAGGAACTCATATAATTCAACAGTAAAAAGAAAACAGAATAGGCAAAATATCTGAATGGACATTTCTCTGAAGAAGGCCAAGAGGTATATAAAAAAGTGATCAACATCACTAATCATCAGGGAAATGAAAATCAAAACTACAATGAGATATCATCTTACCTCTTAGAATGGCTATTATCAAAAAGTCAAATGATAAGCATTGGTAAGGATGGGGACGAAAGAACACCCTTGTACAGTAAACTATCGCAAGAACAAAAAACCAAACACCGCATATTCTCACTCATAGGTGGGAATTGAACAATGAGAACACATGGACACAGGAAGGGGAACATCACACTCTGGGGACTGTTGTGGGGTGGGGGGAGGGGGGAGGGATAGCATTGGGAGATATACCTAATGCTAGATGACGAGTTAGTGGGTGCAGCGCACCAGCATGGCACATGTATACATATGTAACTAACCTGCACAATGTGCACATGTACCCTAAAACTTAAAGTATAATAAAAAAAAAAAAGAACACCCTTGTATACTGGTTGCTGGGAGTGTCAACTGGCACTGACATTATGGAAAACAGTATGGAAGTTTTTCAGAAAACAAAAAATAACGCCCATGATCCACCAATCCCAGCTCTGGGTAAATATCCAAAGAAATTAAAATTGGGATCTCAGAGAGACATCTGCACTCCCATGTTCCTTGCAGCATTATTCACAGTAGCAAAGGTATGGAAACAACCTATGTGTCCATCAGTGGATGGATGAATAAAGAAACTGTTATTATTCAGACATAAAAAACATGAAATCCTGTCATGTGCAGCAACATGGATGAAACTGGAGGACATTATACTAAGTAAAATAAATCAGGCACAAAAGAACAAATACTGCATGATCTCATTTACATGGGGAATCTAAATAAATCAACCTCATAGAAAGAGAGAGTAGAAAGGTGGTTGTCAAGGGCTGGAAGTTGGTGGAAATCGAGGAATCCTGGTCAATGTGTACAAAATTTCAGTCATAAGATGAGTAAGTTCTGGAGATCTGATATACAACATGGTTACTATAGTTAATAATAATGTATTATATATACTTGAAATTTGCTAAGAGAGTAGATCTTAAGTGTATTCACCACATGTAAAAAGTAACTATATAGGCATTTTTATTTGTCAAAAAGTTATAAAAAGCATAATAAATTTGGAAGTTTAGCAGAATTATACCACCTGATTTTAAGATAAGCCTGTAGTAATCAAGACCTTGTGGTGTCAGTCAAGGCATGGACACAGATCAATGAAACTGAGTAGAGAGCCCAGAAGTACACCCACATAAGTATGGCCTGTAGAGTTTTACCAAGACCTAAAGTAATTCAATTGACAAATGTTGGTCTTTTCAATAAATGATATTGGAACAATTAGATATCCAGGTGTAAAAAATGTATCATAGACCTAAATGTTAAATGAAAAAGAACAACATTTTTAAAGAAAGCATTGCAGAAAATCTCATGACCTGGACTAGGCAAAGAGGTCTTGAACATGACAACAAAAGTAGGATTCATAGAGGAAGCAAATAAATTAGAATTTCTCAAAATTAAAAACTTTCACTCTTAGAAAGACAATAAAAAGTCAAAAAGCCAGCAACGGACAAGAAGTAAATATTTGCAAATCGTATATCCAACAAAGGATTTGTGTCTAGAATACATAATGAGCTCTCAAAATTTAACAATTAAAAAACACATGACACAGTTTTTTTGTTGCTGTTTGTTGTTTTTGAGACACAGTCTCACTCTTTTTTTTTTTTTTTTTTTTTTTTTTTTTTAGACAGAGTCTTGCTCTGTCACCCAGGCTGGAGTGGCACAGTCTCGGCTCACTGCAACCTCCGCCTCCCGGGTTCAAGCGATTCTCCTGCCTCAGCCTCCTGAGTATAGGTGCGTGACACCATGCCTGACTACTTTTTGTATTTTTTAGTAGAGACGGGGTTTCACCATATTGGTCAGGCTGGTCTCGAATTCCTGACCTCATGATCCACCCGCCTCAGCATCCCAAAGTGCTGGGATTACAGGCGTGAGCCACCATGCCCGGTCTAACCCAGTTTTGATAAGGGGCAAAATACCTCAATAAGTACTTCACCAAAGTGAGCATATAATAGCAAATAAGCACATAAAAATTGTTTTACATCATTAACCATCAGAAAAATGTCAATTGAAATCAAAATGAGATAACACTACACACATTGGAAAATGATTAAAATTAAAAAATTGACATTACTAAGTGCTAGTAAGGATAAAGAACAACTTGAAACTCATACATTACTGTGGGAATGTAAAATGTCATAGCCATTGCAGAAGATGATTTGGTAATTTCCCAAAAACATACACTTACATGACTCAGCAATGCCAATCCTGGGAGAAATAACAACGTTTGTTCACAAAAAAGCCTACACCTGAATTTTTATAAAAGTTCTATTCATATTTGCCCAAAATCTGCAAACAACCCAAATATCCTTCCATGGGTATTGGCTAAACAAGCTGTGCTGCATCTGAACAATTGTATACTATTTAGCAAAAAAAAGAAAAAAAAAGAAAGAAAAAGAAAGAAAGATACACACAACTTGGATTAAACTCAAAGGCATTTTTGCTGACAAGTGTATTCATAATAAAATAGCAAGAAGATCCTCTTGATTATTGCAGTCCTCATTTCTTTTTTTTTAAATTTTTTGTGTTTTTTTATTATACTTTAAGTTCTAGGGTACATGTGCACAACGTGCAGGTTTGTTACGTATGTATACATGTGCCATGTTGGTGTGCTGCACCCATTAACTGGTCATTTACATTAGGTATATCTCCTAATGCTATCCCTCCCCACTCCCCCCACCCCACAACAGTCCCCAGTGTATGCTGTTCCCCTTCCTGTGTCCAAGTGTTCTGATTGTTCAATTCCCACCTATGAGTGAGAACATGCGGTGTTTGGTTTTTTGTCCTTGCGATAGTTTGCTGAGAATGATGGCTTCCAGCTTCATCCATGTGCCTACAAAGGACATGAACTCATCATTTTTTATGGCTGCATAGTATTCCATGGTGTATATGTGCCACATTTTCTTAATCCAGTCTAACACTGATGGACATTTCGGTTGGTTCTAAGTCTTTGCTATTGTGAATAGTGCCACAATAAACATGTGAGTGCATGTGTCTTTATAGCAGCATGATTTATAATCCTTTGGGTATATACCCAGTAATGGGATGGCTGGGTCAAGTAATATTTCTAGTTCTAGGTCCTTGAGGAATTGCCACACTGTCTTCCACAATGGTTGAACTAGTTTACAGTCCCACCAACAGGCTAAAAGTGTTCCCATTTCTCCACATCCTGTCCAGCACCTGTTGTTTCCTGACTTTTTAATGATCACCATTCTAAAAGGTGTGAGATGGTATCTCATTGTGGTTTTGATTTGCATTTCTCTGATGGCCAGTGATGATGAGCATTTTTTCATGTGTCTCTTGGCTGCATAAATGTCTTCTTTTGAGAAGTATCTGTCCATATCCTTCGACCACTTTTTGATGGGGTTGTTTGTTTTTTTCGTGTAAATTTGTTTGAGTTCTTTGTAGATTCTGGATATTAGCCCTTTCTCAGATGAGTAGATTGCAAAAATTTTCTCCCATCCTGTAGGTTGCCTGTTCACTCTGATGGTAGTTCCTTTTGCTGTGCAGAAGCTCTTTAGTTTAATTAGATCCCATTTGTCAATTTTGGCTTTTGTTGCCATTGCTTTTGGTGTTTTAGACATGAAGTCCTTGCCCATGCCTATGTCCTGAATGATATTGCCTAGGTTTTCTTCTAGGGTTTTTATGGTTTTAGGTCTAACATTTAAGTCTTTAATCCATCTTGAATTAATTTTTGTCTAAAGTGTAAGGAAGGGATCCAGTTTCAGCTTTCTACTTATTGCTAGCCAGTTTTCCCAGCACCATTTATTAAATAGGGAATCCTTTCCCCATTTCTTGTTTTTGTCAGGTTTGTCAAAGATCAGATGGTTGTAGGTGTGTGGTATTATTTCTGAGGGCTCTCTTCTGTTCCATTGGTCTATATCTCTGTTTTGGTACCAGTACCATGCTGTTTTGGTTACTGTAGCCTTGTAGTATAGTTTGAAGTCAGGTAGCGTGATGCCTCCAGCTTTGTTCTTTTGGCTTAGGATTGTCTTGGCAATGCAGGTTATTTTTGGTTCCATATGAACTTTAAAGTAGTTGTTTCCAATTCTGTGAAGAAAGTCATTGGTAGCTTGATGCGGATGGCATTGGATCTATAAATTACCTTGGGCACTATGACCATTTTCACTATATTGATTCTTCCTACCCATGAGCATGGAATGTTCTTCCATTTGTTTGTGTCCTCTTTTAATTCGTTGAGCAGTGGTTTGTAGTTCTCCTTCAAGAGGTCCTTTACATCCCTTGTAAGTTGGATTCTTAGGTATTTTATTCTCTTTGAAGCAATTCTGAATGGGAGTTCACTCATGATTTGGCTCTCTGTTTGTCTGTTATTGGTGTATAAGAATGCTTGTGATTTTTGCACATTGATTTTGTATCCTGAGACTTTGCTGAAGTTGCTTATCAGCTTAAGGAGATTTTGGGCTGAGACGATGGGGTTTTCTAAATATACAATCATGTCATCCCGAAACAGGGACAATTTGACTTCCTCTTTTCCTAATTGAATATCCTTTATTCCTTTCTCCTGCCTGATTGCCCTGGCCAGAACTTCCAACACTATGTTGAACAGGAGTGGTGAGAGAGGGCATCCCTGTCTTGTGCTGGTTTTCAAAGGGAATGCTTCCAGTTTTTGCCCATTCAGTATGATATTGGCTGTGGGCTTGTCATAAATAGCTCTTATTATTTTGAGATATGTCCAATCAATACCTAATTTATTGAGAGTTTTTAGCATGAAGGGCTGTTGAATTTTGTCGAAGGCCTTTTCTACATCTATTGGGATAATCATGTGGTTTTTGTCTTTGGTTCTGTTTATATGATGGATTACGTTTATTGATTTGTGTATGTTGAACCAGTCTTGCATCCCTGGGATGAAGCCCACTTGATGATGGTGGATAAGCTTTTTGAGGTGCTGCTGGATTCGGTTTGCCAGTATTTTATTGAGAATTGTTGCATCAATATTCATCAGGGATATTGGTCTAAAATTCTCTTTTTTTATTGTGCCTCTGCCAGGCTTTGGTATCAGGATGATGCTGGCCTCATAAAATGAGTTAGGGAGGATTCCCTCTTTTTCTATTGATTGGAATAGTTTCAGAAGGAATGGTACCAGGTCCTCCTTGTACCTCTGGTAGAATTTGGCTGTGAATCCGTCTGGTCCTGGACTTTTTTTCGTTGGTAGGCTATTAATTATTGCCTCAATTTCAGAGCCTGTTATTGGTCTATTTAGGGATTCAACTTTTTCCTGGTTTAGTCTTGGGAGGGTGTATGTGTCCAGGAATTTATCCATTTCTTCTAGATTTTCTGGTTTGTTTGCATAGAGGTGTTTATAGTATTCTCTGATGGTAGTTTGTATTTCTGTGGGGTCGGTGGTGATATCCCCTTTATCATTTTTATTGCGTCCATTTTATTCTTCTCCCTTTTCTTTTTTATTAGTCTTCCTAGCGGTATATCAATTTTATTGATCTTTTCAAAAAACCAGCTCCTGGATTCATTGATTTTTTGAAGGGTTTTTTGTGTCTCTATCTCCTTCAGTTCTGCTCTGATCTTAGTTATTTCTTGCCTTCTGCTAGCTTTTGAATGTGTTTGCTCTTACTTCTCTATTTCTTTTAATTGTGATGTTAGGGTGTCAATTTTAGATCTTTCCTGCTTTCTCTTGTGGGCATTTAGTGCTATAAATTTCTCTCTACACACTGCTTTAAATGTGTCCCAGAGAGTCTGGTATGTTGTGTCTTTGTTCTGATTGGTTTCAAGGAACATCTTTCTTTCTGCCTTCATTTCGTTATGTACCCAGTAGTCATTCAGGAGCAGGTTGTTCAGTTTCCATGTAGTTGTGTGGTTTTTGAGTGAGTTTCTTAATCCTGAGTTCTAGTTTGATTGCACTGTGGTCTGAGAGACAGTTTGTTATCATTTCTGTTCTTTTACATTTGCTGAGGAGTGCTTTACTTCCAACTATATGGTCAATTTTGGAACAAGTGCGATGTGGTGCTGAGAAGAATGTATATTCTGTTGATTTGGGGTGGAGTGTTCTGTAGATGTCTTTTAGGTCCGCTTGGTGCAGAGCTGAGTTCAATTCCTGGATATCCTTGTTAACTTTCTGTCTCATTGATCTGTCTAATGTTGACAGTGGGGTGTTAAAGTCTCCCATTATTATTGTGTGGAAGTCTAAGTCTCTTTGTAGGTCTCTAAGGGCTTGCTTTATGAATCTGGGTGCTCCTGTATTGGGTGCATATATATTTAGGATAGTTAGCTCTTCTTATTGACTGGATCCCTTTACCATTATGTAATAGCCTTCTTTGTCTCTTTTGATCTTTGTTGGTTTAAAGTCCGTTTTGTCAGAGACTAGGATTGCAACCCCTACCTTTTTTTGTTTTCCATTTGTTTGGTAGATCTTCCTCCATCCCTTTATTTCGAGCCTATGTGTGTCTCTACATGTGAGATGGGTCTCCTGAATACAGCACACAGATGGGTCCTGACTCTTTATCCAATTTGCCAGTCTGTGTCTTTTCACTGGAGCATTTAGCCCATTTACATTTAAGGTTAATATTGTTATGTGTGAATCTCATCCTGTCATTATGATGCTACCTGGTTATTTTGCTCGTTAGTTGATGCAGTTTCTTCCCAGCATCTGGCTGGGGAAGAGCCCCCGTGGGAAGGTGTGTGTCTTCTCCCAGAGGCCACTACAATCGCAGGCACTGCAGCTCCCCAGGGAGCACCTGGCCTGGGACCCGCAGCCATTCTCTGCAAGGGGTACAGCTGGGCGAATACTCAGAGGTGACAGAAACAGAGCATCCCCCACCCATCACTTCATCAAAGAGCCAGGAGCCAAGAGGAGAACCCTCCTGAGTAAGGATTGAGGGTCCACTCACCCCACATAGAGGGACCACAGAATCCAGTTCAGCCCCTCCTGTCAGCCCTGGAAGACCCTGACAATGTTGTCGCCCCGACCATATCCCTCCCTCCACTGCCACCTCAGGGGACTCGGAGTCAGTGCTTTGGTCTGAGGGGAGCAGACACCATCCACACAGGATGGGATCCAGGCTCTGCCAGGCATCAAGGTCAGGACCTTGAGGATGACTGAGAGTGCCCACCCCCTCGACCTCGACCCCCCACCCCCACCCCCATTTCCACCCCCACTCATAGCAGAATCCGCTATGACACCAGCAGTCAACCCAAGGAAGCCCCAGGCTTGGTGGCCGGATGTGACGGCTAGGGGGTCAGAGAAGCGAGGGTCTCGGTCTGAGGGGCGGCTTGAGATTGGCAGAGGGAAGTGGACCCAGGCTCTGTGAGAAGACAAGGTGAGAGGCTGAGGGAGGACTGAGGACGCCTCCACCCCAGATAGAGGACCCCAAATAATTCAGCGTCACCCCTGCTGCCAGCCCTGGACCACCTAGGGGAGTACTTCTCAGTCTGGGCCACCCCCCGGCGCCCTGCCAACCCCCGCCGCTTATGCCACAGGGGACTCTGGAGTCAGAGCTTGGTGTGACCAAGGCAGGGGTGGTTAGGAGAGGGCAGGGCCCAGGTTCTGCCAGGTTTCAAGGTGAGGACCCTGAGGAACGACTGAGGGCCTCCCTCACCCCCAAGCCCACCGTCACCGCCACGACCTACAGCCTCAGGATCCCCATCCCCATCCCCATCTTCACCCCCATCCTCGCCCCCACCCCTCCTCCATTCCCATTCCCATCCCCACCCCCACCCCGACAGAATCAGGTTTTGCCCCTGCTGTCAACGCAGGGAAGCCCCGGGTGCCCGGATGTGATGCCACTGATTTGCGCCTCAGGGATCAGAGGGAAGCGAGGGCCTGGTTTTGAGGGGTGGCTTAAGATCGGCGGAGGAAAGCGGGCCCGGGCTGTGTGTGAAGGAAAGGTGAGGCGTTGAGGGAGGACTAGGGACACCCCGTTGCAACCCAAGATAGAGGACCCTAAAAAATCCAGCACCACCCCTGCTGCCAACCCAGGACCACCCGGGGGCGGACTTCTCAGGCTGGGCCGCCCCCAACTCTCTGCCACTTAAGCCTCAGGGGACTCTGGAGTCAGAGGTTGGTGTGATCAGGGCAGGGCTGCCTAGGAGAGGGCAGCAGCCAGGCTCTGCCAGCCATCACGTTCAGGACCCTCAGAGAGGGTTGAGGGCTCCACAGAGCGGGGCTCTGTCCTTGCTGTCAGCCCTGGGAATTTCCAGGCATGGTGGCCAGGCATGTGGATCCTGGCATGGGCATCCAGGGCTGACGGAGGGAAGGGGCTTCATATCATGAGCACGGATTGCGGGGAGCAGAGGGAGGGCCCAGGCCCTGCTGGGAGACAAGGGAGGCCTGAGAGAGGCCCGAGGGCACCCAGGACCCCAGGACAGGGGGCCCACCCACCCCCTGTTTGAGACTGAGGTGCCTCCTCATTTGGCCTTGGGAATCTGAGGGATGAAGACTCAGGTCAGCAGGCTGGGGTGGGGCCCAAGCCTGCCGGGAGTCAAGGGCAGGAAGAAGAGGGAGGACTGACGGGAACTTGGAGTCCAGATCAGTGGGGACCTCGACCCTGGGAGGTCCCAGGCACAGTGGCCACATGTGGCCTGGACTCGCTGTGCCTTTGGGGTGTCAGGGAGGAGAGGACTGTGGTCTGGGGAGTGGGGCCTCAGGTCAGCAGAGAGAGGAGTCCCAGAGCTCTGAAGGATGACTCAGAAGACCTTTCTTCCCAGACTTAGGAAACCTGCCCCTACTGTCAGTCCTGGGAGGCCTGGGCAGGACTGTGGGGAAGGGATGCTGTCCCACCACTTTCTCCCTGAGGGTATCAGGGACATGGTGGCCTTGGCATACAGTTCAGCAGGAGGGAAAGAGCCGGGCCCTGTCGGGACTCAATCTGAACACCTGGAAGACACCCAGACAGCGGAGGGCCCCCTGAAACTTGCACCTTCTGTCAGCTTTGGGAATCCCACGCAGGGGTGACCGTGTGGTGCCCCCTCACCTCTACCTCCCGGGTCTCAGTGAGGTGGGGGCCTTGGTCTGAGGGGCGTCCTCCGCTCAGCAGAGGTAGCCACACCTGGTCAGCACCGGATAGAGTCCAGGGTCTTCCAGGAGTGAAGGGGAGGAAGTTTGGTAAGGACTGAAGGTAAGAAGTTACCTCCACATCATAAAGAAGAAGGGAACTTGCAGAGCCGCCCAGCTTCCCCTGTTCTCAGCCCTGGGAGGCCACAGGCAGGGATGGCATGTGGCATGCTCTCATTTCTGCCATGTGGTTGGAGGTGGGAGGTCTCAGGGAGGTGAGGACCTTGGTCCCAGTGACACTGACAGGCCAGTAGAGGGAGCCACACCTGGTCAGCAGAGGGAGGAGTCCCAGCATCTGCAGGACCCACGGTGTGCACCTTTCATGAGGACTGGAGGTACCCCCAGCCCAGAAAGAAGAGACCCCGCAGAGTCTGCTGTCCTTGTTCTTAGCTCTGGGGGGACCTGATCCAGGGTGGCCCTAAGTGGCAATCTCACTTGTGCCACGGGCAGGAAGTTGGAGAACCCTCAGGGAGATGTGGTCTTGGTGTAAAGGGGAGATGTCTGCTCATCTCAGGGGGCTGAGGGTTGAGGAACGGCAGGTCCCGGCAGGAGTAAAGATGAATAACCCACAGGAGAACTTTGGAACTTCCACCCCAGAACAGAAGGGGGCAGCCCCTGGTGTCAGCCCTGGACACCCCATGGAGGGGTGACGGGATGTGAGTCCTCCTCATGTCGGCTTTGGGATCTCAGGGAGGTGAGGACCTAGTTCTCAGTGGGTTACTCAGGCCAACACAGGGACCCCCATCTGATTAACAGACAGAGCGGACCCAGGATCTGCTAAGACCCCAGGTGAGGAACCTGAGGGAGGATTAAGGGTACCGCTGGACCAGAAGGCAGATGGAGGCCCCACAGAAATCTGCCTTGCCCCTGCTGTTTCCGCAGAGAGCATGGCCAGAGCTGTCAGTTGAGGCCCCCTCTCTTATACCAGGATCAGTGGTCTCAGGGAGGGGGAGGCCTTGGTTGGAGGGGCTGCATTTAGGTCAGAGGGAGGGTCCCAGGCTCAGCCAGGAGTCAAGGTGAGGACTAAGTGGACCCCACACGGCGAATGCACATGACCCAGCCCTGCCCTGCCTTTTCTGTCAGGCATGGGAAACTGCAGGGAACAGTGGGTGGATGGAATCCCCTCACTTCCTTTACTGGTGTCTCTTGGAGATAGGGATTTGATTTAAGGTGGTGGCCTCAGGTAAACAGGGAGAGTCCCAGGATCTGCAGGCATCAAGATGTGGACCAAGCAGGTTCCTCATCTCAGGACACATGGACCCAGCTGAATATGGCCACCTCTTACTGTCCTTGCCTGGAAGCCCTGAGCAGGTGTGGCCAGATGTGGGTCCCCTCATGTCCTTCTGTTCCATATCAGGGATATGAGCTCTTGATCTGAGAGTTTCTCAGGCCAGCAAAGGGGCAGGATTCAGGCCCTGCTAGGAGAAACGTGAAGGTCCTGAGTGAGCATAGAAGGGGCCATCTATGCAAAAGAGTGAGGGAACTGACAGAGTCCAGCCCACCCTCCTGACAGCACTCGGGGGACTGAGGCTGTGCTTGCAGCCTGCACCCTGAGGGCCCCTTGATCCCTCTTCCAGGAGCTCCAGGAACTTGGAGGTGAGGCTTTAGTCTGAGTCAGTGTCCTCAAGCCACAGAGCAGAGGAGACCCAGGCAGTGCCAGCAGTCAAGGTGAGGTGTTCACCCTGAATGTATACCAAGGGTCCCACCCACCCATAATGGATGGGACCCCAGAGCGCCCAGCCCCACCTGCCCTACCCTCAGCCTTGGGGCCTTGGCCTCTGCTGGCTGGCTGTAACCTGAGAAGCTGTGTCACTTCTTTCTTCAGATTCTCAGGGGACAGGCTGACCAGGAGGACAGGAGCCCCAGGAGGCCCCAGAGGAGCACTGAAGGAGAAGATCCGTAAGTAGGCCTTTGTTAGAGCCTCCTCCAAAGTCTGGTTCTTAGCTGAGGCCTCTCACACGCTCCCTCTCTCCCCAGGCCTGTGCATCCCCATTACCCAGCTCCTGCCCACACTCCCGCTTGCTGCCTTGACCAGAGTCATCATGCCTCTTGGACAGAGGAGTCAGCACTACATGCCTGAGGAAGGCCTTGAGGCCCAAGGAGAGGTCCCTGGCCTGGTGGGTGGGCAGGGTCCTGTGCCTGAGGAGGAGGAGGCTGCCTCTTCCTCCTCTAGTCTGATCATGGGCACCCTGGAGGAGTTGTGTGCTGCTGAGGCACTGAGTCCTCCCCAGAGTATGCAGGGAGCCTCCTCCTCCCCCACTACCATCGATAACACTCTATGGAACCAATCCGATGAGGGCTCCAGCAGCCAAGAAAAGGAGGAGCCAATCACCTTGCCCATCCCAAGTGTCATGGAGTCCTTCCTCCGAGAGGCACTCTGACAAGGTGTCTGATTTAGTTAGTGTCCTGCTCCACAAGTTTCGAATTAAGGAGTCAGTCACAAAGGCAGAAATGGTGGATAGTGTCATCAAAAATCACGAAGACTACTTCGCTTTCATTTTCAAGGAATCCTCCGAGTACATGCAGCTGATCTTTGGCATCGACGTGAAGGAAGTGGTCCCCACCGGCCATTCCTATGTCCTTGTCACCTCTCTGGGCCTCTCCTATGATGGCATGCTGGTTGATGACCCGAGCAAGCCCAAGACGGGCCTCCTAATAATTGTCCTGTGTGTGATCTTCACGGAGGGCAACTGCGCCCCAGAGGAGGTTATGTGGGAAGCCCTGAATGTGATAGAGGTGTATGCTGGGAGGGAGCACTTCATCTATGGGGAGCCCAGGAAGCTGCTCACCCGGGATTGGGTGCAGGAAAATTACCTGGAGTACTGGCAGGTGCCCAGAAGTGATCCTGCATGCTATGAGGAAGAGAGAGTTTCAGCAGGCGATGCAGCCAGGGCCAGTGGAGGGTGGGGTGGACTAGTGCACGTTCCAGGGCTACATCCAGCAGCTTCCCCACCCTGTGTGACATGAGGCCCATTCTTCACTCTAAAGAGAGCAGTCAGCGTTCTCACTAGTGAAAGGCACGGTGGGTGGAAGGGAACTCAGTGTATAATGTCTTTGTGTTCTGTTCTATTTGGATGAGTTTGCTATTTTGTAAAACATATTGGGAAGCCCTTCATCTGGTTTTGCGGTTTGGAACAAGATGCCATGGCATTGGAATAGGTGTTTCCTTGGAGAATGAAATACATTAGCAAAAAAATTGATGGGGTCATGAAACAGAGAAATAAAAGGAAAAGATAGGCTGCTCTGCCCGTAGAGTAGCTATTCTTTTATTTACTTTCTTAATAAACTTGCTCTCACTTTACTCTATGGATTCACCTCGAATTCTTTCTTGCACGAGCTCCAAGAACCCTCTTTTGGAGTCTGCACTGGGACCCCATTCCAGTAACATCTTTCCGGTGAACCCTGAAGGGACAATACTGAGGAAACCCCCTGACCCAAAGGAAATAGACGGCAGCACTGACTGGCAGACTTTGGAGTCAGGAAAACTTTTCTTCTGGGCTATTGACAGCTTTTAACAATTCAGTAAAGTATACTTCTGTGAACAAAATTCAGAGCATATTTGTTTCTCTCTACCTAATTTCTCTAGAATTTGGAAACTGCTTGTGAATATTCTTAACTTATAGCAATATAGTTATTTGCATAAGTGCAATAAGAATCTGTTTTCTTTTGCAACAAGACACAATTGGAGAAACTGGTTATTTTACCAAGGCTTTGACTGGAATGGTGTTCTTTCCTTTAAGGGATCAAACTTGACTTATAGAGCCAATAAAAACCCCTTGGGAAAACTAGCCTCATAACTTGTCTACACAGTCCCTGTGCAGGGTTACTGACCTGTGGTAAGTAAAGAATGTCATTATCTGACAGGCCCAGGAGCCCCAAGTTATCTTGGGACCTCAAGAGGAGAGGATTTTACCCAACTCAGAGGTATTTGACGGCACCCACCCCAGGCTGGACTCAGCTTTAAAAAGGTCTTATCTGAGATTCCTTCTATGGAACAGAGCTCCATGAAAGCCATTTATTTTTATTTTTTATTTTCATTTATTTATTTATTTATTTATTTATTTATTTATTTATTTATTTATTTATTTTCGAGACCGAGTTTTGCTCTTGCTGCCCAGGCTGGAGTGCAGGAGGGTGATCTTGGCTCACTGCAACCTCCGCCTCCTGGGTTCAAGCGATTCTCTTGCCTCAGCCTCCCGAGTAGCTGGGATTACAGGCACCCACCACTACGCTCGGCTAATCTTATATATATATATATATATATATACACACACACACACATATATATATATATACACATATATATGTGTATATATGTGTGTGTGTGTGTCTGTGTGTGTGTGTGTGTGTGTGTGTGTGTATATATATATATATAATTTTTTTTTTCTTTTAGTAGAGATGGGGTTTCAACATGTTGGCCTGGCTGGTCTTGAACTCCTGACCTCAGGTGATCCGCCCACCTCAGCCTCCCAAAGTGCTGGGATTACAGGCGTGAGCCACCATGCCCGGCCCATCAAAGCCAGTTTTAAAAGAGCTTATGTGAGGCTGGGCGTGGTGGCTCATGCCTGCAGTCCCAGCACTTTGGGAGGCTGAGGCAGGAGGACTGCTTGAGCCCAGGAGTTCGAGACCAGACTGGGCAACATTGGGAGACTGCCTCTATTAAAACATAAAATAAAAATAAAAATATAAAGAGCGTATGTGAAAAATAATTATTCTTGCTGCACTTTATACAAATGATCAGGCCAAGTATAATAAAACAAACCAGTCTTACCATGATTTGTCTTTAGTAAAAATGGGAGACTGGAGAGAGAAAAAAATATGATGTTGCAAAAACTATGGTGCACCTGTTATTAGATTCTAGTTTCATTCGTTGTTTTAAAGTTTTTTTCTGCAATTTAGACTCACTTTTCTTATTCCTGTGAACCAATCAGTGATCCCTGACTGCTATTTAGAAGAAGCAAGAGGGATGGGTAATGTAAAAATCTGGATCAATATTCTAGTTCTGGGCACATATTGAAATCAGATAGTGACCCCGTATCAGCCTGGTTCTAACAGTTGCCCAGTTCAAGGAAAGCCTTCTTACTTAGTTTACCTTGGGATAATTTTACTTATTTTGCTTTACTGTTGTGGAATACACTGGTGTTGTATTCTTGGTGCAGGAGTGCAGGATAAGCTTACTCAATGTTTTCTTAAACTGAACACTTATTAATCTTCCAGATAACATGTTTTGTCAGAACTCAGAGTTGTGTATGACCCTCACCAAACTGACGCTTTCTGACTGAGCTCCTCTCTGTCCTGAATTCAAAAGACTCTCATAATTAGGCAGTAATATCATCACCCCTATTCAGCCTGAAGAAGTTACAGAAGATGGATCTTCATCCCTCTACAACCCTTAGGAATAAAGGTTCTCAGATAAAAGGGAGGAGGGAAATGTCAGAGGTGTTTGAACCAGAGCAACTCCATCTTGAACAGGGTCTGGGTAAAATAGGGCTGAGACCTACTGGGCTACATTCCCAGGAGGTAAGGCATTCTTAGTCACAGGATGAGACAGTATGTCGGCACAAGATACAGGTCATAAAGACCTTGCTGATAAAACGGGTTGCAGTAAAGAAGCCAGCCAAAACCCACCAAAGCCAAGATGGCAATGAGAGTGACCTCTGGTCATCCTCACTGCTCATTATATGCATTAGCATGCTAAAAGACACTCCCACCGGCACCACGACAGTTTACAGATGCCATGGCAACGTTTGGAAGTTACCCTATATGGCTGAAAAAGGGGAGGAGCCCTCAGTTCCAAGAATTCCCCACTTTTTTCCTGGAAAACTCATGAATAGTCCACCCCTTGTTTAGCATATAATCAAGAAATAACCATAAAAATGGGCAACCAGCCGGGCGCCATGGCTCACGCCTGTAATCCCAGCACTTTGGGAGGCCAAAGGGGGTGGATCACGAGGTCAGGAGATCGACAGCATCCTGGCTACCACAGTGAAACTCTGTCTCTACTAAAAATACAAAAAATTTGCCGGGCATGGTGGCAGGCACCTGCAGTCCAGCTACTTGGGAGAATGGGGCAGGAGAATGGCATGAACCAGGGAGGCGGAGCTTGCAGTGAGCCGAGATCACGCCACTGCACTGCAGCCTGGGCGACAGAGTGAGACTCTGTCTCAAAAAAAAAAATAAAAATAAAAATAAAAATAAAAATAAGAAGGCGACCAGCAGCCCTCAGGGCTATGGAGTAGCCATTCTTTTATTTCTTTACTTTCTTAATAAACTTGCTCTCACTTTACTCTAAAAAATAGAAATAAAAGGAAAAGACAGTTAATTCTCAGCTTTTTATTCATGTGCTGTTCTATAAAATTAAGCCATATATGTGTACCTGGATTTTCTTGGCTTATTCAAGGATGTAGGAGAAATTATATCTTAAATGGAAGTCCTGGTCACTGGCTCATTCTTTCTCAAACACTCACTGAGCATCTGCTCTTTGGAAAGCACTGTGTTACTGGAGATACTGGCATAAGTCAGACCCACCCCTACCCGAAGGGTGGTAGGGTCTAGGAGCTATAGTCATAAAATTAAGTTGGTGAGATTTCCTCTAAGACCTAGAGGAAAAGTAAGAGAGGGCAGAATGTGTGGTGCTCCCGGTGAGAGTGGTGGAGTGTAAATGCCCTGAGCCAGGGCCTTTTGGGCTTTGGGAAACTGCAGTTCCTTCGGAGGAAGCTGATTCTAATGAAGCTGGTGGGTCCAGGGTCAGATTCTCAGGGAGAGAAAAGCCTGGAATGGAAAACTGCTCTGAGCAGTTCATTATGGTTGGTGGATGAACATAGACGAGTTTCCACCTGGGGCAGGAATGGAAGGCATCCTGTGCTCTTATCCCAGTGCGGTTGAATACAGCCCAAGAGCTAGGTGATGGATACTCATCATCTGCAAGGGTTTCCTGGGAGGTAAGGGTGAATCTCTCAGGAAGGGAGGCCCAGAAGCCACTGGCAAGGTACTCTTCTGCCTTAGTGGGAGAGCTAGAGCTGACTCTAGTCAAATGGCATTCTAATTAGGTTATCTCAAGTGTAATTTGGCCATTCCTGAGCATGGGCTAGATTTTGCGTGGTGATTATATGAATGAAAATAGTGGTTGAGATGGAAAAGCAGCTGAGAGGGAGGAAAAGAGTTGGTCCTGGACTCACGTTCCAGGAACACTGAGCTGCAATCCAGCTGAAGAAGACTCCTCCACACACAAATTAAACAATAGATCCTCTAGGAGGGAAATTCTACTGTGTTTTGTCTATGAAGCAACACTTTGGGCTGAGTTGGTATTCTATTCTCTGTACTGTTGTGCTACGTACTCTGAGGTTTCCTAGATAACAATAACAACAGCAACAACAAAATTCCCAGAGGCAACTATGGTAGGATCTGAGTTCCAAATAGTAACACAAATAACTGCCAAACATTAACGATCTAATATATGCCAGGCCCTGAGCCAAGTGCTTTACTTACATTGCACACACTCCAAAAGTCCTATAAGACAGACTTTATCAAACCTGCTTCACAGATGAAGAACCTGATGCTCATGCGGCTTGATGATTTCCCCATAATTACATGGCTAATAAGCAACACGGTTGGGATTGCATCCCTGCTAGATTAGGATGGGCCCCAATCCAATATGACTGGTGTCCTTATAAGAAGAGGACATTAGGACACAGACACACACAGAGGAAAGACCATGTGAAGACACAGGAAGAGAATGGCCATCTACAAGTCAAGGAGACAGGCCTCAGGACAACTCAACCCTGCCCACACCTTGAGCCTGAACTTGTAGCCTCCGGGACTGGGAAAATACATTTCTGACGCTTAAGCTCCCCCAGTCTGTGGTACCTTGTTATGATAGCCAAAGCAAACTAATACACATGGTCCGAATTCATCTGAGTGTATGTCATTCCTTCTCGTCCCAACCTGAAGCAGACCTTCGTCTTGCTATTTACTTCTCAGGAATCCACGTCTCTCAGGCAACCAAAAGAAGGACCCTGTGGTCAAGCTACAAAAAGTATGCCTAAAGAAGTGCTATGGACTGAAATGTGCTCCCCTCCAAAAAAAAAAAAAAATGTATATGTTGAAGCTCTAAGTCCCAATGTGATGGTCTGGAGATGGGGCCTTTGGGAGGTAATTAGGGTTAGATGAGCTCCTGAGAGCGTAGGCCCTCATGATTGGATTAATGTCTGTATTCGTTCATTCTTGCGTTGCTATAAAAAAATACCTGAGACTGGGTAATTTATTAAAAAAAAATAGGTTTAATTGGCTTACGGTTTGCAGGATGTACAGGAAGCGTGGCAGCATCTGCTTCTGGAGAGGCCTTAGGGAGCTTTTACTTATGGCAGTAGGCAAAGAAGGAGCAGGCTCTTCACTTGGTGAAAGCAGGAGCAAGAGAGACGGGGGGGGCATTGCCACACACTATTATATGACCGTATGTCGTGAGAAATCACTCACTATCATGAGCACAGTACCAAGGTGATGGTACTAAACTATTAATGAGAAATCTGCCCCCATGATCCAATCACCTCCCACCAGGCCCCACCTCCAACACTGTGGATTACAATTCAGCGTGAGATTTGGTGGGGACACTGATCCAGACCATATCAGTGTCCTTATAGGAAGAAATGCCAGAGAGCTTGCACATTTTTCTCTTTCTCTCTCTGCCATGTGAGGACTCACAGAGAAGGTGGGCATCCATAAGCCAGAAAGAAGACCCTCACCAGACACCCACCATACTGGCATTCTGACTTTTGGCTTCCCAGCCTCCAGAACTGGGAGAAAATAAGCATCTGTTGTGTAAGACCCCCAGTCTATAGCATTTTGTTACAGCAGCATGAAATGACTAAGACATGAAGGAAGGTGACAATGAGAACCAACACAATTTAGGAATCGTCTGTGGTTCCTTGAGAGCCAACTCTGTCCAGGTGCCAGCATTTCTGTGCATTCCCAGCACTTTCCCGAATTATAGCACCCTTCCACAATGGTCTTGCCCCATGTGCCTGCCTGTCCAATTCTGGAATCGAGCTTGCTGCTAAGCTCTTCATGGTTGCATCCTTTAAAGGCTGTGCCCTACTTCCAGTGGGACAGCCAAGAGTCACCTGCCCTTCTCCTAACATAGAACAGTTCTACTTTCTGGAGAAGTCCCCTGACTGTCCCTGTTCCTCACACTGGGGCCCCTCTAATAGCAAAAATACATTTGACTTTGAATAGAGACCTTCAGACATCTGATCATCCTGTTGGATGTCTTCAACACATTCTTAAAATGTTTTCCAAGTCAGCTGGTGAGTAGCGTCTGATTTTGACTTATAATATATCAGTTCCTGGGATACAACCCTGAAGTTAGAAAGTGTTTGAAACCATCCTATATTTACAATAGGACTTTAATAAGCTGTCTCATTGGAAACTGGCCACAGAGCACATACATAGATGGTCAAAAGCCAAAGCCTCTTGTATTAGCTCAGGCTGCCATAACAAAGTACCATAACAAAGTACCACTGGGTGGCTTAAACAAATAGGTAGATGTTTCTCGCATTTCTGGAGGCTGGGAAGTTTGAGATCAAGGTTCTAGCAGGTTTGATGCCTGGTGAGGGTCTCTTCCTGGCTTGTAGACAGCTACCTTCTCTGTGTGTCTGCACATGGCAGAAGGAGAGAATGCGAGCAAGCTCTCTGATGTCTCTTATAAGAGCGGTAATCCCATCACGAAGGTTCCACCTTAATGACCTCATCTAACTCTAATTACGTCCAAAGGCCTCATCTACAGATACATCACACTGGGTCTTAGGGTTTCAACATATGAGTTTTGGTGGGGGTGGGGGCACAGTTCAGTTCACAGCATCTCCTTCATAAGTGACAGATGAGGAAGGACTGTCAAAATCACTGTGGGGCAAATATCTACTGAAGCTGAATTCCTAAAACCCTAAAGTTCTCCTAGGAGACGAAAAGTGGTTCCTCGGTAGGCATGCTAGCTCTGATTAGAAATGGAAAAAAAATCAGAAATGAAAAAAAGAACTCTCTTGGCACTACTTCTGGTCTGTGGATCTGCCCCACAGGAAAGACATAGCTTTCAATGTGTCTAATGGCATCTGAACAGACGTTCAGGTAACAGGAGGGTAGCAGAGACCCACAGGTTGAGGTTTTACCCATGAATTAAAAGAATGAGAAATTCTCAGCCTACTAAGGTTTCAGACATTATTGCAAATGACAGTGCAGAAAAGTGTTAGTAAGTGAAGATAGTTAGTATATCTAACTATACTAGTGAGTGAAGAAGTTAGTATATCACACGAGGTGCTGAGGTATACTGGATCCTTAGAAAACTACATGTGATCCTGTATTTGAAAGCATCTGTCATACAGTACACACTTAAAAAAAGTTGGAGAACGTAAAGAAAATCTGGTTTTCTCCGAAACTCCTCCCAGCAATGAAGAGGGCTGTTGTCATAGCAAATAATAATAGTTCCTTTTTGTTGAGCACCTACTATGCAACAGTTTATGGGAGAGACTATAGTGCTCACCCACATCTCATCTTCCTCTCTTTCCTGGATACATGGGAACAGTACAGTCCACTTGTAGTTAGGAAGGGTCATGTGACAACCCCTTACCACTGAAACATGAGCAGAAGCATTGTTTGTCACATCTAGACATCTGAGAGCCAGTGTGCCATTTCCATGCTTTCTCCCTCCATCTAATAGTAAACATGGCAGCCTCATGTTGAGGTGGTGGAATCCCGAGGTGGAAGCTGCCTGGATACCTGGGTCACGGGAGAGTGGAGAGGCCCTGTCAAACCACATCAGGACTCATGTGCACATTAAATAAACTTGTGTTTTGTCATGTCACTCAAATTCCAGGGTTTGCCTATTGCATCAGCTAGCAGTTACTTCAGTTACTTTAACTGACTAATACACAGCTACTATTTTTGCTGTTAGGCTTATTTAGATATTGTAATTTAAAAGATAATTGTGCCTATATTCTTGTTGCAAAAGAAATCTAAAATACAGATAATTCACAATTCTTCTCTGTATAAAGTTCCTCCACAATTCAGCCCGCACCTCAGAGGTCACCACAATCAGCAACCTGCTGTGTACTATTTTATTGTATATTTTTATTCTTTTCTGTTTTAGTTTGTTTTTGAATGCATTTATTTCACAAATATGTTCATTAGGTGCTATAAAAATGTTTGTATCACCTTTTGTGTTTGTATAAATTAAATCAACAATAATTTCGGTCAAAATTAGTAGTCCCGAGAATTTTTCTCCTTTATACAGGGTGCATATCCGGGGGCCTTCAAAAAGCTCATGAAAAAAAATTGAATTAAAAGATAAAAATAAAAAATATGAACCAATTTCTGAACATAAACTATATCAAGTTCAAGACACTTTTGTAAGTGACGATACCAGATATTTAGTCCATTCCTAAAGAACTGAGAGTCCTGGGAATTTAACCACGTCAGTGCAGTCCTTTTACATTATTAACTGAAGAAAACTGAGTGTCCTTTGACAACTTCTCAAGATTTGGACTGTGGGCTTTTGCGTTAACGCTGAAATGAGTTAAGACTTTGGGGGACTGTTGGGAAGGCAGGATTGGTTTTGAAAGGTGAAGACATGAGATTTGGGAGGGGCCACATGTGGAATGATATTGTTTGGCTCTGTGTCCCCACACAAATCTCATCTTGTAGCTCCCAATATTCCCACATGTTGTGGGAGGGACCCAGTGGGAGATAATTGAATCATGGGGTTGGGTCTTTCCCATACTGTTCTCGTGATAGTGAATAAGTCTCAAGAGATCTGATGGTTTTAAAAACGGCAGTTTCCCTGTACAAGCTCTCTCTCTCTTTGTCTGCCGCCATCCATGTAAGACGTGACTTGCTCCTCCTTGCCTTCCACCATGATTGTGAGGCCTACCCAGCCACGTGGAACTGCAAGTCCAATAAACATCTTTCTTTTGTAACATTCCCAGTCTCTGGTATGCTTTATCAGCTGTGTGAAAAGGAATAAATACAGAGGGGTTCCCCTACTTCATTTGAAGGTTTATTAACTAACAATAATCAGTATAGTGTGGAATTGTCCTAAATTTAGAAACACATAAAAAGAAGAGAGTAAAGTCCAGGAATGGATCCACATGTATATGCATATATATATAAGTCAAATATTGATAAAGATACAAATGAAGATTCGAGGAGAGAAATGATAGTGTATTCAACTGGGTCTAGAACAACTGGATATCTATATGCAAAACTGAATTTCAATCCGTAATTGCTTTCTTCCTGTCTATCTATCTATCTAGCTACCTACCTACATATCTATCTATGTAAAAAGGGAGGGAGAGAAAGAAAGATAAAGGTTTCATAAGGAATTATCTCATGTGATTATGAGGTCTTGTATATCCCAAATCTGTGAGGCAGGCCAGCAGGCTAGAAACTCACACAACATTTTTATGTTAGTCTTGCGGTAGAATTCCTTTTCCAGGAAACCTTAGTCTTTTCTCTTAACACCTTCAACTAACTGGATGAGGCCCATCCACATTATGGAGATTAAACTGCTTCCCTTAAAGTCAACTGATGGTAAATGTCAATCACAACTACAAAATACCTTCACAACAACATCTAGACTACTGTTTGACCACACGGCTGAGCACTATAGCCTAGACAAGTTGACACATAATACTAACCATCGCACATATCTTACACCATACAAAAATGTAACTCAAAATGAACCACAGACTTAAATGTCAAAATTATGGGTTTTTTTTTTTTCTGTAGGAGAAAACAAAAAAAAATTGTGTTACCTGAGGTTATGTCTTAGTAAGCTCAGGCTGCCCTAACAAAATGCCATGGACTGAGTAGCTGAAACAAAACAAATTTATTTTTTTTCACAGTTTTGAAGTATGGAAGTCCCAGATCAAGGACTGGCAGGGTTGGTTTCTGGTGACGGCCTTATTCCTGGCTTGTAGATAGCCCTTTCTCAATATATCCGTTCTTGGCCTTTCCTCTGTGCATGTGCAGAGAGAGAGAGAGAGAGAGAGAGCTAGTGCAGGCACACAAGTAATTTCTTCTGTCTCTTCTAACTGCTTATAACCATACTAATCCTATGGGATCGAGGCCCCACCCTTATGACCTCTTTTAATATTAATTACTTCCTTAGAGGCCTCATCTCCAAATGCAGACACCCCGGGGCTGAGGGCTTCAAAGTATGAATTTGGTGGAGGACATAAGCATTAGCAAAGAATGCACACATAGATTAATAAAACAGAATAGAGCTCAGAAATAGACCTGCACACTTATAGTCAGGTGATTCACAACAAAGGCAATAATGGTGAAAGTACAGTTTTTCCAGCAAAAGGTGCCTGAACAATTAGACATCTACAGGCAAATTATAATAACCTAGAAACATCCTTACATATTCCAGAAAAATTAACTCGATATAAATCACAGACCTAATGCAAAATGCAAAAACTATACAACCCTCTATAAGAAAACATAAGAGAAAATTCACATAACTTTGAGTTCAGTGGTGAGTTTTTAAATTCAACACCAAAAGCATGATCAATGAAAGAAAAATTTACCAAGTAGATTTTATTAAAATAAACATCATGTGCTCTTCAAAGGACAATGTTAAGAGAATGAAAACAGAAGCCACAGACTAGCAGAAAACATCGGTGGTACACATATGTGATAAAGAACATATCTCTACAACATACACGAATTCTTAAAGTTCAACGACAGAAAAAACATGAAAATAGGCAAAGATCTGAAC